>NT_167245.2:983535-1157905 GCF_000001405.40 Homo sapiens | reverse complement strand
AACCAGGGGTAGATGTCAATGCTTCAAGGGCTATACAAGGACCAGAAAAGAAGAGGTTGCACCAATTTGGACTGCCGAGTCACACTTCTTTACACAAGAAAACACACTTTACAGCCTCAAACGGCCAACAATGCAGAGGGACATGTCCTCCTCAGGGGAAAATTTGATAGAAAATTGAAATGGTCAATTGAAACATTGTTTGTCTAAAAACTGCCAATCTAATTGTTGGGCAATATAAACATGAAGGACTGGCTTTTATATCTTCATGAATGTGCTCGCTGTCAACATGAGTGGGGCTGCAAGAATAACTCCACTAGGTAGCATCCTCTCTTTTACCTGATGGATCAGGACGATGCTGTTACGACGATACATACAATTCTTCTGAAGGGGAGAGGATGCTGGAATAAAGACTACACTTCACCTCAAATTTATTTTTTCATATGTTATGCCATAGTACCAGGAATAGGGATGTAAATAAAAGTGCCAGAAACAGGAATTATCCCTAAGCGAAAAACCATAACTATATTTTTACACCTTTATGTAAGAATTCTCAAGTATTCATTTCATCTGAAAAGTTAGGATTAACAGTAAGTAGAGTTATATAGCCTGGTGGTCTGATAGCCCCCACTAGTTCCTTACCTATATAACCTACCCTCTATGATCAAGACTAGACTGAGGGAAGACATGCTAGAATACTATTGCTGCCTGCAGTCTAGGCCAGCCCAGCAGACAAACCTAATGTCACTCCCAAACCTGGAAACAACTGATATAAAAGGACAGAGGGAGGAATAGTGGCTGAGGGTAAGTGAATAAATCAAAGGGTTATATAATGAGAAAAATTCAATATTAGCTTAACTCCTCAAAGGTGGTGTGAGCAAGAGAAGATATTGTCACTTAGGTCAATTATACGGGATGCCTAAAAGAGTGAAGCTGTATGTCCCTGAGACCATCCTTGTTTTTGGAACCTGGTAAGATTGAGTGTTGTCAGCAAAGCTGAGTGATTTCATTCTGGGAGACATATTCATACAAGAGGATGATAAACTGGCCTAATTTTGAATGAATGGATGAGACTCTGATAATATGCCAATACCTCTTTACTGTTACAATCCTTTTTCCTGTAAAAGATATGTGGTCAAAGAAAAGTGGGCAATCTGAGTTATCACAAAAACATTTAGTCTTTGTCCCTGGTTTCTCCTAAAAACCTTAGACTCTCTTGAGTGATAAGAGTGTCTTTAGAGTACTGATGAGAAGACTCTTGGCTGAGTGGATCCTGGATATCTTAAGAACGGTGGCTAGCTGCCAGAGACACATACCTGTGATGCGAGGGTTATCTTTTTCCATTTTGTGTTGCTATAAAGAAATGTCTGAGACTGACTAATTTATATAAACGAGGTTCATGTGGCTCAAGATTCTGATGTCTGGAAATGTTTGCGCATTTAGTGAGGGCCTCAGGCTGCTTCCACTCATGGCAGAAGACAAAGGGGAGCTGGTATATGCAGAGATCACATGGTAACAGAGGAACACAGAGAGTAGGAAGTTGCCAGGGTCTTTTTAACAACTAGCTCTCTTGGAAAATAATAGAGCAACAATTCATTCATTCCTGAGAGAGGGCAGTATCTCTCGATTCATAAAAGATTGGTCACCATGACCCAAATGGTGGCCATTAGGCCCCAAGTCCCACAGTGGGCGTTAGATTTTAACATGAGGTATCAGGGGATAAATGTTTATATCATTGCATCCCCTCCCTAGCCAGCCAAAGGTCATGTTCTTCTCACATTGCAAAATATAATAATCTACTCCCAATTGTCCCAAATGTGTTAGGTTGTTCCAGCATCAACTCAAAATTCTAGAGTCTCATCTGAGACGCAAGGTAAATTCTTATAGCTTTGAGCCTGTAAAATTTTTTTAAAAAATGTTATTTGCATCTAAAATATTAATAAAACAGTGGAAGAGACATTTCTTGTACATTTCCATTCCAAAAGGTATATAAATGGGCCAAAAGAAATGAATGCAGTTTCCTCATAAGATTGAAACTCATCATGGCAGACATTAAAACTTAAAGGTCTAAAAGAATCTCCTTTGACTCTATATTTTGAATCCAGAGCACAGTGGCTGGTGCAACTGCTGGGCTCCTAATGCCATTTGCAGCTCCACATTTATGGCTTTGCTGAACATAACCCATATAGCTGCTGTCATGGGAGAAAATTGAATGCCTATGGCTTTTCCAGGCTGAGGTTGCACATAGCCAGTGGCTCTACCATTTAGTAGTCCTGGCAGGGGTCCTGTTGCTGCAGCTCCGCTAAGAATTTTCCTGGGTATTAAATTTCCCCATTTAAATATCAGTTCCAGTTTTGGGTCATTTCTTTGCTCACACATATGCACATAGGCTATTACAGGCAGCCAGACCAAATCCTGAATTCTATGCTACTGAGAAATTTCTTCCATCAGATACCCTTAATCATCACTCTCAAGTTTAAAGTTCCACAGATCCCTAGGGAGGTGGCACAATGCCTCCAAGAACTATCACAAGAACAGCATGAAAGAGATGATTCTAAACCATTCATGAATCATCCATCCTCATGAGCCAATCACGTCCCACCAAGCACCACCTCCAACATTAGGGATTACAAGTGAGCATGAGATTTGGGTGGGGACACAGATCCAAACAATATCAGGGGTCATGGTGGACATGAGGGTGGGCTGGTCTCTCCACTTCTCACATGTTACCAGGGACATAGACACATTCAGATGCCTTGGCAGAAAGAGAAAACAGAGGCCCTTGAAGTCTCAAAGTGGAGCCATGAACAAATCTTGCATCTCAGTCCCTCACAAGGCAGTCTTGGAAAGAAAATATTCGTGAACAAATTCAAGTCAGTCATGGTAAGTGGTGACACTGAACAGCCCACCACACATTGAAAAATTCCAAATCAAAGACTCTCTAGAGCCTAGTTGTGTCCCATCTGCCCCAACTCCTCCTTCACTTCAGGCCCTCTAAGGTGTCACTTTTACAAGACTTGAGAGACACATCAGAGCCCTGGGTACTGTTCCTGTTTGGGGTGGAACAAAAACAAAGTCTGGTCAGAGCCCACAGGTGATGTGACTAAAGGAGGAATTGTGGGGTGGTGACCTCCCCCATGGGCTCCTGTCTACACTATTCCAAGGATCTCAGGAATCACTCTCCCACCCCTACCACACTTACTTGAAGCCTGAGCATAGCTGACTCCTTTTCCATATGAGGAAAGAAAACAAACTGTGAGAGGCCAGGGAAGAGGCAGGGCCATGAGATCCTAGAGGAGTTTCCAGAACTGTGACTGCAGACCCAGGTCAGGATCAGAAAACCCGAGGGAAGAGGATGTGTTGAAGCTGAACCAAATGTCCTTTTGACATCTGTCCTCAGCAGGAACATTCTCCTGACTTGTGACTGCTGGGAGTCAGGTTCCCATGATCACAATCAAGGTGATAAATTTGTCCTTCAATTTCACAGGTGCTTTACAAAAGAGTGAGAGTTGACAGGGCATCTGAACAGGGTAAATGTGTGTGGAGATGGTGTCTCACAACTAGGCAGGAAATGAGCCAACTTCCATCTGGAGCTTGAAATCCACGAATGGAAGAAGAAATCTTGGAACTCACCCCTTTCCTACCTGGGGTCTTATTCTTCCACATCACAGCAGTGACCACAGCACCTAGAACAACCAGGACGGTAACGATGCCCATGATGAGGAATGTGGGCTGGGAAGATGGCCCTAAGAAAGGAGGGGAACGTGAGGGGTCCTGACCCCCAGGCCTCAGCCCTGACCCTGCTGAAGGCCTCCAGAAGGGCTCCTGCTTTCCCTGAGAAGAGACATGGCCCCTCATTCATCTCCTTAGCCCATCTCAGTGTGAGGGGCTCTGGCAGTGCCTCCTGCTGCACATGGCATGTGTATCTCTACTTGTCTCTAGAAGACAGCATCACAGCTGCCCACTTCTGGAAGGTTCTATACCCTGCAGGTCTGGTCCCCACAAGCTCTGCGTCCTAAATTTGGTCCTCCCCATCCCACAGTTGGGTCACTGTGATTTCCACATGGTAGAAGCCCGGGACCCAGCACCTCAGGGCGGCCTCATGGTCCGAGATGGGGTAGTGGATCACACATGTATTCTGGGATTCTGAAGGGAAGAGTAAGAAAATTGAGGCACTTTGCATTCCTCATGGGACACTCCAGCAGCACCCATGTGACCATCCTGAGAATGGATAGGACATCTGGGGTGGGGAAGGGAGCACAGAACCCAGACACCTCCTGGCCACAGGCACCTGGGATAATCTCCTATTCCTTGGAAAGTTAGTGTCTGAGGCGTTGAATAATTTAGAGTCTGCAGAGTGCCTGGGATTGCAGGCGCGCACCACCATGCCTGACTGGTTTTCGTATTTTTTTGGTGGAGACGGGGTTTCACTGTGTTGGCCAGGCTGGTCTCCAGCTCCTAACTGGGAGTGATCTGCCAGCCTTGGCCTCCTGAGGTGCCGGGATTGCAGACGGAGTCTCTCTCACTCAGTGCTCAATGTTGCCCAGGCTGGAGTGCAGTGGCGTGATCTCGGCTCGCTACAACCTCTGCCTCCCAGCTGCCTGCCTTGGCCTCCCAAAGTGCCAAGATCGCAGCCTCTGCCCGGCCGCCATCCGGTCTAGGAAGTGAGGAGCGTCTCTGCCCGGCCGCCCATCATCTGAGATGTGGGGAGCGCCTCTGCCCCGCCGCCCTGTCTGGGATGTGAGGAGCCCCTCCGCCCAGCAGCCACCCCGTCTGGGAGGTAAGGAGCGTCTCTCCCCGGCCGCCCTGTCTGAGAGGTGAGGAGCCCCTCCGCCCAGCAGCCACCCCGTCTGGGAAGTGAGGAGCGTCTCTGCCCGGCAGCCGCCCCGTCCAGGAGGGAGGTGGGGGGCAGCCCCCGCCCGGCCAGCCACCTCGTCCAGGAGGTGGGGGGCGCCTCTGCCCGGCCACCCCGTCTGGGAAGTGAGGAGCCCCTCTGCCCGGCCGCCACCCCGTCTGGGAGGTGTACCCAACAGCTCATTGAGAAGGGGCCATGATGACGATGGCGGTTTTGTCGAATAGAAAGGGGGGAAATGTGGGGAAAAGACAGAGAAATCAGATTGTTGCTGTGTCTGTGTAGAAAGAAGCAGACATAGGAGACTCCATTTTGTTCTGTACTAAGAAAAATTCTTCTGCCTTGGGATGCTGTTAATCTATAACCTTACCCGCAACCCCCTGCTCTCTGAAACATGTGCTGTGTCCACTCAGGGTTAAATGGATTAAGGGCGGTGCAAGATGTGCTTTGTTAAACAGATGCTTGAAGGCAAAAAAAAAAAAAAAAAAAAAAAAAGAATGCCCAAAATGACAATTTTCTGACTCAAGCATCTACAAAAATATTTGCCTAATCAGGGTGCTTTGCAATTAGAAAAATGTGAGTCTCACATCTTTGTCTGTACAACTGGCTTAGCATCATGACAATGATTTGGTTTGATGTGGTAGGTGGAAATGGTTAAATTCAATCTAGGAACAAGATTTTTCAGTAACTGGCTATTCAGTGGGCATCCTGTGATCAGTTTAACATCTTTCACTGTGGTTTTTAATTAGATGTGGTAGAAGTGATTTGGACTCCAGTATGATTCTGAAAAACACTGTTATTTTGTGCTTCTAATGTTGCTTTAAAAGCAGCTCTTTCGTGTTTTCCATTCTTATTGCTATTTCATCACTAGTTATTCATTTATGTCTTTTCATTTAATTTATTTTGCTCAACAATGCTTTTTTTCTATTCTGTAAAAGTTTAATTCACTTGTATGTGTGGTAAAATGTGAGCAACATATCAAATTCTCAAATTCTTTGCAAGATACTATTGCCTTACCTATCAGATTGAACACTGTGTATCAGAAAATGTAGAGAGTTGCCAACTAGCCAAGGATCAAATGACCTATTTGTAGCCAAGGCTGTTTTTCATGGCATCCTGGTCCTCTCACATGGCTCCTTAAAATTGGCTGTGGCTTGTTTTTTGTGGTTGTTTGTTTGTTTGTTTTGAGATGGAGTATGGCTCTGTCACCCAGGCTGGAGTGCGATGGCAGGATCTCAGCTCACTGCAACTTCTGCCTTCCAGGTTCAAGCGATTCTCCTGCATCAGCCTTCTGAGTAGCTTGGATTACAGACACGCACCAACACGCCCAGCTAATTTTTGTATTTTTAGTAAAGACGAGGTTTCACCATGTTGGTCAGGCTGGTCTCGAACTCCTGATCTCGTGATCCACAGGTCTCGACTTCCCAAAGTGCTAGGATCACAGAAGTGAGCCACCGTGCCCGGCCAGCTGCGGCTTTGTTTTACTACGAGTAGTTATCGCAAAGGATGCTTGTGATGAACTTTGGCATTTTCTTTTCTCTTTCATTTCCAAATAATCAATCAGGAATGGCACACAAGGTGCATTTTGAAAAATACCACTTTAAAGATTTGTGGGCCAGGAGTGGTGGCTCATGCCTGTAATCTCAGCAATTTGGTAGGCTGAAGTGGGTGGATCACCTGAGGTCAGGAGTTCCAGACCAACCTGGTCAACATGGTGAAGCCCGTCTCTACTAAAAATACAAAAATTAGCTGGGAGTGGTGGCATTTGCCTGCAATCCCAGCTGCTCAGGAGGCTGAGGCAGGAGAATCCCTTGAACCTGGGAGGCGGAGGTTGCAGTGAACTGAGATCATGCCACTGTACTCCAGCCTGGGCAACAAGAGCGAGACTCAAAATATATAAATAAATAAATAAATAAATAAATAAAGTTTTATGATCAAGTAACTAACTACCTGGATATCCCCTCCTGGCATAAGAAACAGAACCTATGAAGCCACCCTAGGCTGTTGTCCAATCCTATCCCCTAAAAGGAACCTATGTCTTGAGTCTTGTATTTGCTATTCCTTGGCATTGTCACTGAAGATTTTTACAATAATACCCAAATCACAGTTTGACCTGTATTTTTTTAACTTCCCCATACAGAGAACTCACACCGCATGTATATTATGTGTTGGGGAGTTATCTCTGATGTGGGAGGGTGCTTATCCTTTTAATTTTTTTTTCTTTTTGAGATGGAGTTTCACTCTTGTTGCTCAGGCTGGAGTGTAGGGGCGGGATCTCAGCTCACTTGATCTCAGCTGCTTGGTTCAGCTCCATCTAGCATCTTTCCCCACGCTGTCACCCCCAGCACCAGGGGACTGAGAGTTGATGACCTGGTACACCACCGCCTGGATCTGCTGCAGTGTCCTTTCCTGTCTAGTCCGCACTCAAAGCTGACCTCTTCCTATATTATACCCAGACAGTGGGCCAAACAATATACTTAGATGTGGAATGTGGTGTTGCCAGGACCCAGAGAAGCTCACCAAATAGTGTGCTTCCTTCCTTCTGTTGAGGATGCAAGATGCAAGTTTGTCTTTTACTTTGGAGGGGACAGCCCTGCATGCCCCTAACCACTGGACCCATAACACTTCACTGCAGTGGCCACTCTTGAAGCTCTGTAAGGTTAATCTTCACCTTCTGTAGTGCACACGTTTTGCCAAAGAATTCAGCGTACTTTCCTCCTCTTACTCATCCATCCCAATCTATGTGATATTGCCAATGAAATGAAGAGATTTAGTATTCTGTGAGATGTCTGATTTGTCCAGATCTCTTAAGGTGATATTTATAGAAGGTTGAGGAGTTAAAGTAGCCCTGAGGCAAGCTATCAATAAATGTATTATAAATCCCATGTGAATGTGAATCATTCCATATCCATTTTCTAAATGGAATGGGAAAGAATGCACTCACCAAATGCATGGCTGTTTGCCATGTGCCTGAGGCCTTATTAATCTCCCCAAGCAGTGATATCCAGCCAGCATGGCAGCTGCAATCAGGACTCCTACTTGGTCAAGTCTGGAGTAATTCCATTCATTCTTTATCAGGCTTCTTCAGGGACAGACTGCTGAATTATATGGAGATAATAGGCAATCCCAACACCACCCCCCATCCTTCAGCTCTCTAATGGCAGTGCCACCCCTACAATACCTGCAGTACCCTCCTGAAGTCCCACCTGGGGCGCAATATTGCTTCTGGCTTGGCTGGGATGAGGGAAGTTTTAGATGATTCCCTTTGGGCTTCAGCACAATGATAGCCCTTACTCTCCAGACTAGGGATGTAGTGTGGGGGTGACTCCCTTTGCCAGTGCATCAAGGCCAATTATGCATGTGGAGAATGGGGAGATAACCAGGACTGGGTTTATGAACCCAGTGGTCCCACAGTGGGCCATAATGTGTCCAGGTTTATTTCCTGGCCTCCTTAAGCCCCACTGTAGATTCTGAATCTGAAGCTTGGCTGAAGTCTAGGAATTGAGACTGGGATCATGACTTTGTATTTGATCAAACACCCTCAGTCTCCTGCTCCTCAATTCTTGCATTCCCATCATAGATATGAAGCAGTGCCCTCGCTGGCTGCCCATCTGTTCTGACGCTGGGACACCACCTTTTACTAACCTTTCCCAAAACTCCATGAAGGTTGAGCCCCTTTGGCTGCTACTCTGGGTTCTCACAGTAACCGTGCCCTCTATCTTTTGCAGGTCGCTGCAAAGGAGGGTTCCTAAAGCATTCACTCCTGATCCTGAGGGAGGTGGGTGCACTCACTCCAGGTCTCAGGTCCGCCACAGAAAAGCAAAAACTCCTCACATTCAAAACTGTCCTGGGCCACATTCAGCCTGCGAGCTACGGGTTAGACAAGCTAGCATCTAGAACATATGTACCACAACACCAGAAATTTTTCTGTTTTCACCTTAATGATGCTTTCTAAACGCAAAAGCAGTCATATCCCTAGCAGACAACAAATGTCAGTTGAATGAATGATCACTGTAGAGCACTTCTCTATTCTAAAGCCAATATCTTTGTTAAGGTAGCCTCAGGGCAAATGCTGTTTTGTGGCAGCTAAAGAACAACATCATCTCATGTGGACATCGATGCCGCCAGTGCTTTTCTCACCAGGACTGCTTGTGTGTCCTCCCTCCCTCCCTACCTCCTCCCACACCAACCCTCCTGCACACTGCAGCACACAACCATATTTTTCTCTTCAGGAAAGATAACCCTAGGCTTATGGGTACAATTTTCCAACCACGTATGAATCTAAATTAGACTCTGCTTTGTAAATCCATGAGTTTGGATTGGAGCCAGCACTAGGATTACTACAACTCAGGGCAGGAAGAAGAGTAGGAGAGCAGAAGAGGAGCTCCAACAGAAAGTTCACTATGATGAGAAACTATGGGACCCCTCCTCTCTGCAAATTTCAGAATCTGCTTCCTTTAAAAAGATTGGAGACAAGATGAAAACTACAATCCAGGAAAGAGCCCTGGGAGGAGGGCAAGAGCTGGACAGGTCTGAAAATTAGTCTCTTGATACCACAATGAGATTTGTATGCAGGGACCACCCTAGGTGACATCCAACTCCCTGTGATCACAGGTGGTGGTGGGACAAGGTTCTACTGAAGGGCCAAGGAGAATGAAGGAGCAAAGATGACCCAGCTGAGCAGTGACCACATAAAGTCCATACTGGCCTGAGCACCCACTAGGCACAGCCCCATCTATTCTCCTCCCCTGCAACAAATCAGCACAAGAAACACATGGACTCTGGAAGGTTCTCATGTGTTCCATTTATTTTGTCTCTCAAATTTTAGGAATCTTCTCCTTTAATTAAGTCATCAACCTCTCATGGCAAGAATTTGAAAAAGTAAATGTTTACTCAGATTCTAATTTTAAGAGGGAAGTAAGAAGTTACAGCTCAGTGCACATAAAGTTGAGAAAAAGATGGAGACATCTCAGCCCCGCCTCTCTGGAACAGGAAAGATGATTGGGGAGGGAACACAGATCAGCGTGGGGAAGAGGGTCATGGTGGACATGAGGGTGGGTTGGTCTCCCCTCCTCCACACATTATGCCTACAGGAACACAGACACATTCAGGTGCCTTTGCAGAAAGTCAGGGTTCTTCAAGTCACAAAGGGAAGGTGTGAACAAATCTTGCCTCTCAGTCCCACACAAGGCAGCTGTCTCACACTATAGAAAAAATATTCATGAACAAATTCATATCTGTCCCAGTAATGGATGACACTTTGGCAGCCCATCGCATGCTCAAAACATCAAATTCAAAGAACCCCATAGCACAGCTGTGTCCACTGTTCCCCCCCAACACCCCCCACACATCAGGCCCCCCAAGGTCTCACCTTTCACGCCGTGAGAGACACATCAGAGCCCTGGGCACTGTTGCCGCCTGGAGTAGAATAAAAACAGGACCTGGTCAGATCCCACAGTAGATGTGGCTAGAGGAAGAATTGTGGGGTGGGTGAGCTCCCCCATGGGCTCCCAAACACAATATCCAAAGGATTTCAGGGATCAGCCTCCTTCATACTTACTTGCAGCCTGAGAGTAGCTCCCTCCTTTTCTATCTGTGGGAAGAAAATGTCCTGTGAGATGCCAGAAAGAAGCCAGGGCCATAAGGTCCTAGAGGAACCTCCAAGTCTTGGACCCCAGAGAAGTTTCCAGAAATGTGCAACTGCAGACCCAGGGCGGGATCAGGAAACATGAGGAAAGCAGATGTGGGTCCTGGACCAACCGCCCTTCTGAGGTCTGTCCTCGGGGACCTTCCCCTGTGACTTGTGACTGCTGGGATCAGGTCCCATCACCACAGTCATCAAGGTGATAAATCTGTCCCTCATTGTAACAGGTGCTTTACAAAAGAGTAAGTGCTGGCACACAGGGCCCAGGCTGGGTAGGCCCATGAGTGTGGATGGTGCTTCCCAGTAACCAGGCAGGGCACTTCTACCTGGGGCTTGGAACTCTCAGTGAGACAAGAAATCTCAGACCACACTCCTCACCCCTTCCTTACCTGAGCTCTTCTTCCTCCACATTACAGCAGCGACCACAGCTCCAGTGACCACAGCTACAAGTAGAACCAGGCCAGCAACGATGCCCACGATGGGGATGGTGGGCTGGGAAGATGGCTCTGGGAAAAGGGGGGAAGGTGAGGGACCCTGACCCTGCTAAAGCTCTCCAGAGAGGCTCCGGCTTTCCCTAAGGGACATGACACCCCCATCTCCCTCCTTACCCCATCTCAGGGTGAGGGGCTCTGGCAGACCCTCATGCTGCACATGGCAGGTGTATCTCTGCTCCTCTCCAGAAGGCACCACCACAGCCGCCCACTTCTGGAAGGTTCCATCCCCTGCAGGCCTGGTCTCCATGAGCTCCGTGTGTGGGTCTGGTCCTCCCCATCCCGCTGCCAGGTCAGTGTGATCTCCGCAGGGTAGAAGCCCAGGGCCCAGCACCTCAGGGTGGCCTCATGGTCAGAGATGGGGTGGTGGGTCATATGTGTCTTGGGGGGGTCTGACAGGAAGAGTCAGAAAATTCAGGCATTTTGCATCTGTCATGGGACACTCCACCAGCACGCATGTGGCCATCTTGAGAATGGACAGGACGCCTGGGGTGGGGAAGGGAGCACAGAACCCAGACAACAGCCTGGACACAGGCACCTGGGATAATCTCCTATTCCGTGGAAAATTCTAGTCCCTGAGGAGGGAACAGCGACTTCTGGTCCTGACCTGAGTGGAGGCTGAGGGACTCAGAAGAGCTGGACTCAGACCCCCAGGCACATTGAGTGTGAAGCAGAGAACAAGGCCTGAGAGGAAAAGTCACGGGGCCCAAGGCTGCTGCCAGTGTCAAAGGGAACCACTCATCAGTATTCCAGGGATTGTCTTCCCTTCATTTCCTCAGAGATTTCATCCCTTAATTGTGTCAAAGAGCACGGCGGACCCTCAGAGTCACTCTCTGGAAACCCAGGAGGATTCTTCTCCCTCAGGACCAGAGGGAGGGCGATATTATAGTGTTGGTCCCATTTGTCTCCCTTTCTTGTGGGAGGCCAGCCCCGGAGATCTACAGGCCATCCGGGAGGCGCCCTGTGGCCCCTGGTACCCGCGCGCTGCAGCGTCTCCTTCCCGTTCTCCAGGTATCTGCGGAGCCACTCCACGAACTCGCCCTCCAGGTAGGCTCTCAGCTGCTCCGCCTGACGGGCCGCCTCCCACTTGCGCTTGGTGATCTGAGCTGCCATGTCCGCCGCGGTCCAGGAGCGCAGGTCCTCGTTCAGAGCGATGTAATCCTTGCTGTCGTAGGCGTGCTGTTCATACCCGCGGAGGAAGCGCCCGTCGGGCCCCACGTCGCAGCCATACATCACCTGCATGGTGTGAGAACCTGGCCCCGCCCCCGCGGTCAGCCCGGTCCCCCGAGCCCCGCCCTGCCCCGACCAACCCGCGGGGATTTTGGCCTAAACTGAAAATGAAACCGGGTAAAGGCGCCTGGGCCTCTCCCAGGTCAAGGGTCTCGGGGTCCCGCGGTTTCGGGGAGGATCTCGGACCCAGAGACTCGAGGCGACCCGGCCCTCCGTGGGGGATGGGGAGGGGTCGTGACCTGCGTCCCGGGCCGGGGTCACTCACCGCCCTCGCTCTGGTTGTAGTAGCGGAGCGCGATCCGCAGGTTCTCTCGTTCAGTCTGTGCCTGGGCCTTGCAGATCTGTGTGTTCCGGTCCCAATACTCCGGCCCCTCCCGCTCCATCCACGGCGCCCGCGGCTCCATCCTCTGGCTCGCGGCGTCGCTGTCGAACCGCACGAACTGCGTATCGTCCACGTAGCCGACGGAGATGAAGCGGGGCTCCCCGCGGCCGGGCCGGGACATGGTGGTGTAGAAATACCTCATGGAGTGGGAGCCTGGGAGCGAGGAGGAGCTGAGACCCGCCCGACCCTCCTCCCTGCGCGGCTCCCTGGGTCCTGCGCCCCCGCCGGGCGGGCCCCTCGCTCCTCCCGACCATTTCCCTGCAGACCCTGCACTCACGCGCCCAGGTCTGGGTCAGGGCCAGGGCCCCTGAGAGCAGCAGGAGGAGGGTTCGGGGCGCCATGAGCACCATCCTCGGCGTCTGGGGAGAATCTGAGTCCCGGTGGGTGCGTGGGGACTTTAGAACCGGGACCGCGGCGGCACCGATTGGCTTCTCTAGAAACCCGACACCTAGTGGGAATGAGAACTGTGCCCGCTTCCTGAGTATCCAGGAAAAAGGACCCGTCGCAGGTTGTGAGAAGAAGAGAAACTGCGGAGGTGGCGAATCCCCAAGGCGGGGCCTCCCCAATCCATACACCGCCTTCGGGGCCTGAGACCCTGAGAGCCACGCCTGGGGCCCTGGGACTTCGCCCTGACCCCGCTCCTCCTGTGCCAAGCGCTCTGTCTCAGTGTTTCCCTGAGTCTTGGCCCAGGAGCTGTCTGAGAAACCAGGAAGAAACCCTCGGCATGGGCCCTGTCCCTCTCCCTTCACTTTTCATCCAGGAATCTCCGTCCCTGAACTGGACTCCCTGTCCACCTGGACTCTTCTAGAAGAAAAGTCACCCACGGAGTTTGGTGACAGAGAGTGAGCTTGCTCTGGGAATGGAGGTGTAGAAACTGTTTTTTGTTTTCCTTTTTTTTTTTTTTTTATTGGGAAAAGTTGTGCCTGAGTGCATGAGACAGAATAGAGACCAGTTTATTTATTTATTTGTTTATTAAATACATTGGATAGCAGAACCTTGGTAACCCCTGAATGATCAGGAATCTAATCGGTAAAAAATGTGACTTTGGCCCCATGATGTATAAATGTGCCCAAAAGCGTTAGAACAGGACTCACAAAGCTTCTAAGTTTCACTTTTGCAGTGTACCTGTGACTCCCGCTTGTCATATTTTAAATTTGCCATCATTCCATAGCTCTGAGTTTCTGTGTGAGTCCAGGATATCTCCTCAATACAAAGTAGCACACTGTGTACTTTGCAACCAGGTACGTTGCAACCAGGAGTCAGTACAGGCTTTATTCACCTCAAAGTTGCAACTGTTCAATGTAGTCGCAATGCCCCTCACTAGTGCTCATGCACTGCCTGTTTTTAGGAAGTATCCACTGCTAAGTGTTGTGTATATTTTATAGGAACACTTAGTAATTTTTAAACCTGATTAACATTAAAAAATTAGTTTTTAGGCAGACCCACATGAGGTATTAAAGGCCAACTGCCAAGGACACCCTGCTAGGCTCTGTAGATGGATGTATTAAAATCCATAAAACAATGTATTTAAACCTAAGAATTCTGCTGCTTTCGAATTCTTTCCTCTGCTCCTTTTCTTCACCTCCTGCTTCTCCAGCCCTTCTCTCCGTCCTTTTCATCCTTCAGGCCCTCCTGTCCCCTTAGTCCCCACCACACTGTCACTTGTGAGTTGTGACACTAGCACTGTCCCATGACCTGTTACGTGACTGTTCTTTTCACAGTGGTCCTGCTCCTGGGAGTCGGAGTGTGTCATCTCTCCACTTAAAACACTCCAGTGTCTCCACCTCGGTCTTGAGAAACTTCTGGAGTGTCAGGCACGTGAGCATATGAGGGGATATCTGGTTTATCGTAGGGACTAAATTAATTTTTGTCGACTGAATGAATGAAATATGAGTGTATTAAATTGCATTACAGATAATTATAAAGTGCAAAACACGGAAAAAGTTCAGAAAATTTTTATTTTATGTAACTAGTGTGCATATCAATTCATCAATTCATTCGTGCACTACCATGCCTGGCGAAACAACACCCATTTATCTGCTTATAGTTCCTTGATCAGAAATCTGGGCAAAATTGTGGATGGAATCTCTCTTCTGGGCTTCCAAAAGCTGTGTTTTCATTTTGAATCCTCCTTCAGGCTTATACAGAGGTGGCAGAATGCAGTTTCTGGCAGTTGTAAGACTGAGGTCCCTGTTCCTTGCTGGCTGTCAATGTAGAGAACAGGGAGGGCTGTGCTCGATTCCTGGTCCTCACCAGCATTCTTTCCTACACAGCCCCTTCATTTTTTATTTTATTTATTTATTTTTTGGAGATGGAGTCTTGCTCTGTAGCCCAGGCTTGGGTGCAGTGGCCGGATCTCGGCTCACTGCCAGCTATGGCTCCCAGGTTCACGCCATTCTCCTGTCTCAGCCTCCCAAGCAGCTGGGACTACAGGCACCCACCACTACGCTTGGCTAATTTTTTTTTTTTTTTTTGTATTCTTAGTAGAGACAGGGTTTCACCATGTTAGCCAGGATGGTCTCGATCTCCTGACCTCATGATCCGCCCGCCTCAGCCTCCCAAAGTGCTGGGATTACAGGCGTGAGGCACCGCACCCGGCCCACAGCCCTTTCATTTTCAAAGCCCATGCTGGAGGAAACCCCTCATGCTGAGTCCCTCTCACACTGTGAGTCTCTATGCTCAGGAAGAACCCAGTCCTTTCAAGGTCTCACCTGATTAGGACAGTCCAAGCAGGATAAACCCAGCCTAAAGTCAACTAATTGAGACCCTTAATTATATCCACTAACTCCCTTCACAGCAGCACCTACATTAGAGTTGATTGAATAACTGGAGGATGGTGAATGACCAGGAGCTGGTTGTTGAGGGCATAATAGAATCAGCCTAGCAAGGGTTGGATCTTCCTTTTGTGTTTACTTCGGACACAGTTGGAAATTGAAGTTCAAGTAAAGTGATCATTGTGAATGGTCATAAAATACATCCTCTTCAGCCATGGAAATTCTCCTTACCTTTTAAAACTAAGTTACATGTTTAATATCTTATAATTAATTTACGCCAGGTATGGTGGCTCACGCCTGCCATCCTAGCACTGTGGAAGGCAGAGGAAGGCAGATTTGTTGACTCCAGAAGTTCAAGATCAGCCTGGGCAAAACCCCCATCTATACAAAAAATTAGAAAATTAGCCAGGCATAGTAGTTCATGATGGTAGTCCCAGCTACTCAGGAGGCTGAGATCAGTGGGTCCCTTGAACCCAGGAGGTCGACACTGCAGTGCATGGTGATCATGCCACTGCACTCCAGCCTGGGTGACAGAGCGAGACCATGTCTCAAAAATAATAATGATGACGATGATACATTTAAAGCAAATGCAATTTAATGTGTAATAATACATCCTCTCTTGTGAAAATGTGTTATTTATTTACTATTGCATAACAAATTATGTAAAACTTAGCTTAAAACAACAAATATTCCTCATCTGCCACAGTTTCCAATGGTCAGGAGTCCAGGAGAGGTTTCCCTGAGTGCTTCTTGCTCGGGGCCTCTCACAAGGTTGCAGTCCAATTGTCAGCCAAGGGCTGCATCATCTGAGGGCTTCACTGGGGCTGAGGATTCACATGAAACATGGATCAGTCACATGGCTGTTGGAAAAGGCCTAGTTCTTTGTTGTCTGGTCCCGGAAGGCCTCAGTTCTCAGCCACATGGACCTTCCTGCAGGGCTGCTTGTGGCACAGCAGCTGGCTTCCCCCAGAGCTCATGATCCCAGAGACAGAGAGAGAGAAGGTGGAAGCCGCAGTGAGTTTTAGGTTCTACACCCAGAGTTACAAACCATTATGTCAGCATTATTCTATAAGTTAGAAGTTATATTAGTCCATTCTCACACTGCTATGAAGAAATACCTGAGACTGGGTAATTTATAAAGGAAAGAGGTTTAATTGACTCACAGTTCTGCATGGCTGAGGAGCCTGCCCCAGGAAACTTACAGTCATGGCAGAAGTGGAAGCAAACACATCCTTCTTCACATGATGACAGGAGAGAGAAGTGCAGAATGAAGCAGGGAAAAGCCCCTTATAAAACCATCAGATCTCATGAGAATTCCCTCAGTATCACGAGAACAGCATGGGGGCACCGCCCCCATTATCCAATCACCTCCCATGTGGTCCCTCCCCCAATAGGTAGCGATTACAATTCGCATAACAATTCAAGATGAGATTTGGGTGGGAACACAGAACCAGGCCATATCAGAAGTGCCTCATTAAGTCCAAGCCACACTCAGGAGAGGGAATTAAGATGCACCTCTGGAAGGGAACAGTATCAAATGTTTTGAATATATGTTAAAAGCAAAATTATAACTATTGTTTCAGGTTTTTGAAAATCAAAGACTTCTTTTATCTAATTATTTTTCATTAACTCTTTCAGCTTGTCTTTTTCTTTAAGCTTGTCTTTTAATTTAATTTTTTTTAAGTTCCAGGGTACACGTGCAGGATGTGCAGGTTTGTTACATAGGTAAACATGTGCCATGTTGGTTTGCTGCACCTGTCAACTCATCACCTAGGTATTAACCCTGGCATGCATTAGCTATTTTTGCTAATGATCCTCCCACCACCACCCTGCCCCAATAGGCCCCAGTGTGTGTTGTTCCTCTCCCTGTGTCCATGTGTTCTCATTACTCAGTTCCCAATTATAAATGAGAACATGTGGTGTTTGGTTTTCCGTTCCTGTGTGAGTTTGCTGAGGATAATGGCTTCCAGCTTCATCCATATCCCTGCAAAGGACTTGATCTCATTCCTTTTTATGGCTGCATAATATTCCATGGTGTATATGTACCACATTTTCTTTATCCAGTTCATCATTGATGGGCATTTGGGTTGATTCCATGTGTTTGCTATTGTGAATAGTGCTGCCATGAATGTAAACATGCATGTATCTTTATAATAGAATGATTTGTATTCCTTTGGGTATATACCCTGTAATGCGATTGCTGGATCAAATGGTATTTCTGATTCTAAATCTCTGAGGAATCACCACACTGTCACTGTCTTCCACAATGGATTAACCGATTGACTTTTCCACCAACAGTGTAAAAGCATTCCTATTTCTCTGCAACCTCGCCAGCATCTGTTGTTTCTTGACTTTTTAATAATTGCCATTCTGACTGACATGAGATGGTATCTCATTTGTGGTTTTGATTTGCATTTCTCCAATGATCAGCGATGTTGAGCTTTTTTTCATATTTTTGTTGGCCACATGTATGTCTTCTTTAGAAGTGTCTGTTCAAGTTCTTTGTCTACTTTTTAATGAAGTTTTTTTTTCATGTAAATTTGCTTAAGTTCTTTGTGGATTCTGAATACTAGACTTTTGTCAGATGGATAGACTGCAAAATTTTTCTCCCATTCTGTAGGATGTCTGTTCACTGTGATTGATGATAGTTTCTTTTGCTGTGCAGAAAAAAATGCCTAATCAAATTGCTTTTCATTTACAAAAATGTGAATCTCATACTTCAGTAAACTTTATTTTACTTTAGTAAAAATTATTAGCATGATGCCAATAATTTTGGCTTGATGCTATAGCCCGAAATGGTTAGTTCTAATTGAGAAACAAGTTTTTTTCAAAAACTGGCTATTTGATGGGCATTCTATAATAAACTTAACATCTTTTGTTGTGGTATTGAATGAGATGTGATAGAAGTGATTTGGACACCACTATGATTCTAAATAGCGCTGCTATTACATGCTTCTGAATTTTTTTTTCTTTTTAGCAGTCCTATTCTGTTTTCCATTCATATTTGCTATTCCATCACTGGGTATTCCTCCCTACTCTTTTCATGTTTCATTTATTTTGATCAATGATGTGCATTTCCAATCTGTAAAAGTTTATTTCAGTTTAATGTGTGGTAAAATGTAACATCAAATCTTTGGAAGATGAAATTATCTTGCACAGCAGATTGAACATTGTATCATTGAAAATCTAGAGAGATGCCAGGGAGCCAAGGATCAAATGACCTATTTGTAGCCAATGCCATTTTCATGGCATCCTGGTCCTCTCTGTCACATGGCTCCTTACAATTCTCTGTGGTTTTCTTCCAATGTAAGTAGTTCTTGTTAAGAATCTTTGCAATGAACTTTGAAATTCTTTTCTTTTTCATTTCTATAAAAAACAGGTATATTTTAATTTGGAAAACTCTGTTTAAGGAATTATAATCAAGTATCTACGAGGGTGCCCAGCGCTGGTGTAAAACACAAACCTGTAAAGCTACCCTGGGCTGCTACCCAGTCACCCCCTAGAAGGAGACCGTTGGGAGCAAGTCCCCCAAAATCTGGCCATAAACTGGCCCCAAGACTGGCCATAAACAAAATCTCTGCAGCACCGTAACATGTTCATAATGGCCCTAATGTCCAAGCTGGAAGGTTGCAGGTTTACAAGAATGAGGGAAAGGAACACCTGGCCTGCCCAGGGCGGAAAACCGCTTAAAGGCATTCTTAAGCCACAAACAATAGCATGAGCGATCTGTGTCTTAAGGGTGTGTTCCTGCTGCAGTTAACTAGCCCAACCTATTCCTTTAATTCAGCCCATCCCTTTGCTTCCTATAAGGGATACTTTTAGTTAATTTAATACCTATAGAAACAACACTAATGACCGGTTTGCTGTTAATAAATATGTGGGTAAATATCTGTTTGGGGCTCTCAGCTCTGAAGACTGTGAGACCCCCGATTTCCCACTTCACACCTCTATATTTCTGTGTGTGTGTCTTTAAGTCCTCTAGCACCACTGGGTTAGGGTCTTCCTGACCGAGCTGGTCTCGGCAGGAGACTCCATCCTGAGTCTTCTGATACGTATTCCTTTGTATTCCTTCAAAGATTTGTGCAATAAGTGTATATTATATATATATATCTATATCTATATCTATATCTATATCTATATCTATATCTATATATATATATATATATATATATATATATATATATATATCTCCCCAAAACAAACCTCAGTTAGTTTTGCTGGTTTTTAAGCTTCCTGTACAGCAAATTCCTACTGCATGTATTTTCCCATGATACACATTATGTGTAGGAGTTATCTGTGGTGTGGGAGGCTGTCATTCATTCATTTTTACGCTGAAGGCTTACATATCGTTTTACCACAATTTCACCGGTTTCCTATTGATGTACATGTGGCCGATTCCAGTTTTTGCCATAAATATTAGTGTGCATGTCTCCTGTGCACATAGGCAAGAAAGCCCCAAAGCCCCCAGAGTGGATGATTAGGAATGGGTTGGTTGCATGATACATTGTATGGACTTTAACCATACTAGATAATGATAATATGATTTCCAAAGTAATTGTGGCTACTTAAACTTTTACAATAAATGTGTAATACTTGATGTTGATGATGTGTTCTGAAAACACTGAGTTGAAGGAATTGTGTTAAAAGTCACCGTCTTGGTGGTAGAATTATAGCAAGCATTTTTATTCTGTTAATAACTTCCTGTTGTTTACTTGTTTCTCATATAAAAGACATTATGCTTTTGACATATAGATTCAGAAAATGCTTACTTACAGCCCAATCACATAGGGTTATTTTATATTTTAGGAAAATTTTATAATAAAAAGGAAAAAATGGAGGAAGGGAGGGAAAGAAGGAGGAATGGAGGAAAAAGTGAAAGAAGAAAAGAAGGAAGGGGAAGGGGAAGGAAAGGGAGCAAGAAGGAGGGAAGGTGATAGGTTGAATGGAAATAGAGAAGAAAGAGAGGGAGGGAGGGTTAGAAGGAAGGAGAAAGGGAAGGAAGAGGCCAGGTGTGGTGGCTCATGCCTGCAATCCCAGCACTTTGGGAGGCTGAGGCAGGCAGATCATGAGGTCAGGAGATAGAGACTTTCCTGGCTAACATGGTGAAACCCCGTCTCTACTGAAAATACAAAAAAATTAGCTGGGCGTGGTGGCAGGTGCCTGTAGTCCCAGCTACTTGGGAAGCTGAATCAGGAGAATGGCATGAACCCAGGAGGCAGAGCTTGCAGTGAGCTGAGATTGAGCCACTGCACTTTAGCCTGGGCAAGAGAGTGAGACTCCATCTCAAAAAAAAAAAAAAAAAAAGGGAAGGAATAAAGGAGAAAAGAAACTAAAATAAAGAAAAGAATAGGTGTTGAGAAACTAGAAACCCTATGTGTGGCTAATATTATCAAAATAGGAGAAAATAAAAGAGATGTAGTTAACTTCTATAGAATAATGGAAATGTAAGAGGGCTTCATTAGTTATCCATTGCTGTGTAACAAACTACCCCCAAATTTAGTGATTAAACAATAAACATTGAGGAACTCAAAAGCATACTACAAATACCAGCAAAATGGAGCCAATGCAGGTAGAAGTTGAATAAACAAAAAGATTTTACACATTGGAATAAGTAAGAGATCACTAGTGGGCAGATGAAAATGATTTTATAGTCCAAATGCTCCAAAAAGCAAGTTCCATCATGGGATTAAAGTTATAGCATTTTATTAGGGGACACACCTGTCAGGTGATATGGCAAGGGAGGTAGGTTACCCTGGGAAAGGCAACAAGATGCAAAGGTGATCCCCAGTGATGGACAGAAGGAGACAAGGTTTACTGGATGTGCCGTAGACCACAGGCAATCTAAGGAGAGTTAAGCAAGGCCATGGAGGAGTCCTTGAGCTACAGTTGGCCATCAGAGGAGTCCCTGGTCTCCCAGGAATGTCCTGCTTTCGTGTCACTGGTGTGATCTGTCACTGGTTGGGAACAGCCCATTGGAAGCAGGACCTCAGCACCAATGCTACTGAGGATGTCAGAGCACAGGAGCAGGGCCTTGGGAGATTACCCAGCATTACTCAAACCTTCTGCCCTGACGGGTCTGGGTCCTTGGAAATCAAGCTGTCTCAGGCTGAATTGCTGGATGATTCTGCTCACACTTACAATGAGGTAAGGGAAACCAGAAGGCCCCCAGGTGGATCTCTGGTTTCCACACACACTTCCGCCCTCATTGTGTGAAAGTAGCCATGCCTTCTCCTGAAGATGAGGATCTGTTACCTGGGCCTGGAGAGGAGGAGAATCCTCTTTTCACCAGGTGGTCTCTGGGCACAAACTATCAAAACTTCTCTCGTGACAACCATAATGTGTAGTTCAGTGGGCTGTCTTTTGTCTCCTTTTAAGGGTACCCTCCTTGGAAACCAGGACCTCGTACCCTGCACAGCCCAGTGTTGGAAGATAAAACGTGCAAAATACCCCATTGGGTGAATCTAAGGGATTGGACGTGGAGCCAAACCTGCTTCCATCTTTTGATCCCTGGACACACATGTTCTTCCTATTGAGAACACAGCACTCTAGAGACATCTCTGATTCAAACAATGCACCGTGTCCTAAAAGATGGCACCCACCTCTCAGAGTGCTTCCTCCAGGCTGGCACTGAGTTTTGCCTGTAGAAGACCTGTCCAGCATTCCTTGTGGCTGGCAGCCTCTGGATGGTGCAGATGGTGATAGGATTAGTGGAACCCACAGCCATGGAAACACTGAAACTTTCCCAGCCAAGTGGGTCCTTCAGGCAGATAATGGGCTAGGAGCACCGCCTAGCCTGCAGATCAGGAATGTCAACAGCACCCGGAGAGGTGCTGGCTGAGTTTCTGAGAGCAGGACATGAAAACACCCATGGAATAGGAGCCTATCCCTGTGAAGATGAACCTCTGGCCCTTCCAGGATGGAAGTAGCTAAATGTAGTCAACTTGTTACTTAGTGGCTAGTTAGTCACCTAAAGAAATAGTGCCCCACTGGGGCACATCATGGGCCTCAATTGCTAATGAGTTGGACATTCAGAGGTGTCGGCAGCTGGATCTGCCTTGGTAGGGGGGAGTCAGTGCTGTTGGCCCCATACGTAGCCTCATGCCTGCCACTGTGGTTGCTCCATTCATGAACTCATCCTACCAAACCAGGGCTGACCCATGGTGAAGGCTGGCTAACTTCCATTTGTCTGTTTGGTTGTTCAGTGCCACTTCAGACTTGGGTATTTTCTCTGGGTGTAAACATGGGATTCAAGCTCAACCCAGGTGGACCATTTTCACCTCACGATGGATGCTGTTGGGCCTGTCTAATCTATGACTCTGTGGGTCACACAGGCACTCGAACCACATAGTTGCTTGGTGTCCCGTGGTCAAGCATTCTATCTAATCAGGACAAGGGACACTAAAAGTTGCTTCTAATAGGTGGCATATGTCTCTGCTGTGAATGACATGACCTTACTCCAGAATCCCAGGCCTTTCACTGTGACTTTCCCACTGGTGCTTGGTTCAGCTCCATCCTGCATCTTTCCCTACCAATGGCATCACCAGCACCAGGGGGTCTGAGAGATGGTGGCTGCTCGCACCATGGCCTGGATCTGCTGCAGGGTCCTTTTCTGTGTGGGCCCTACTTGAAGCTGGCCTCCTCCTATGTCACCTAGAGTGTGGGCCAAAGCAACATACCTAGATGTGGAAAGTGGTGTTGTCAGAACTGGAAGAGGCTCATCAGGCAGTGTGCTTCCTTCTTTCTGGTGAGGATGCAAGATGAAACAGTTTGTCTGTTACCTTGGAGGGGACACACCTGCATTCCCCTAAACACTTGGCCATTGTTCACCCATAAAACTTTACTTCAATGCCCACTATCTTTTTCTTTTTGAGATGGAATTTTGCTCTTGTTGCCCACTCTGGAGTGCAATGGCACGATCTTGGCTCACTGCAATCTCTGCCTCCTGGGTTCAAGTGATTCTCCTGCCTCAGCCTCCCAAGTAGCTGGGATTACCAGCATGGGCCACCATGCCTGGATAATTTTGTATTTTTAGTAGAGACGGGGTTTCTCCGTGTTGGTCAGGCTAGTCTCCAACTCCCAACCTCAGGTGATCCATCCACCTCAGCCTTCCAAAGTGCTGGGATTACAGGCGTGAGCCACTGCACCTGGCCGAGTGGCCACTCTGGAAGCTTTGTAAGGTTTATCTTCACCTTCTGGAGTGCCCGTGTTTTGCCAAGCACTACAGTGCACTTTCTACCTGCTGCTCATCCAGCCAGGTCAACAGGAAGTTGTCAATGATATGAGCTGATTTAATATCCTATTGGATATCCAGTATGTTTAGTATAGTCTTAAGACTATACTATAGAGGTCAGGGGAGTTACAATAGCCCTGAGACAAATGATAAATCAATGTTTTGAGGATCCCACATGAATGTGAATCACTCCATATCCACTTTCTAATTGGAGTGGAAAGAAATGCAGTCACCAAATCCACAGCTGCATGCTCTGTGTCCAAGGGTTTATTAATCTGCTCTACCAGTGATATCCAGACAGCACAAAAGCTGCAATTATAACTCCTACTTGGCCAGACCTGGAGTAATCTAGTTCATTCTTTAGGCTTCATCAGGCTTCTTCAGGGACAGGTTGCTGGATTACGTAGAGACAATAGACAGCCCCAACACCATCCCACATCCTTCAGCTCTGTAATGGTGATGTGATCCCCACAATACTTGAAGTATCTTACACAAGACCCACCCTGGGACACACTATGATTTTTGATTTGGCCAGGATGGGGGCAGTGTCAGAGGTTTCCCTTTGGCTTTCAGCACAATGAAAGTCCTTACTCCACAGACTAGGGACCCAGGGTGGGGGTAACTCCACTTAGCAGTGCATCAGTGTCAATTGTGCACTCAGGGTATAGGAAGATAACCAGGGCTGGGTCTATGGATCCAGTAGTTCCATTGTGGGCCATAATGTGTCCAGGTTTACTCCCTGAGCTCCATAAGCCCCACTGTGATGAGAGACATGATAGTGCTGTGGGCATCTGAGCATCAATGTCAGTTCACACCCAGTGTCAATAATCCCCCCAGTTCTGCCTGTTTCCTTTCCCCAGTGTACAATCTCCTGAGTAAATGGCTATATGGTCCTTTGCCGAAGGACTGAGGGAATTGTCCCAGCATATACTTCCACGGGGTTGCAGAGTATTCCGCCTAGAGATATGGACTCTTCCTCTGTCACTGAGATCTGAATCTGCATCTTGGCTGAGGTCTAGGCATTGAGGATGGGATCATGATTTTGTATTGAGTCAAACACCTTCACCCTCCTGCTTCTCAATTCTTGCTTTCTTATCATAGATATCAACCAGCTGCCTGTCCTAACCCTGGGACACCACCCTCTATTATACTTCCCCACATTCCCTGCAGCTTGAGTCCTCTTGGCTTCTCCTCCGAGGTTGCCATAGTAACCGTGCCCTCTGGCTTTTGCAAGTCACTGCCACCACTTGGTCTTTGTCTCTTCAGGGCCACACTCTCCCCAGTGATATTAGAAATGAAACTCTGGGACTATCTTTACTACCATCACCCCCAGCCTACAAAGGACAATACCCTGACACTTCTTAGTGATGCAGGTCCCTCTCACCATCAAGTTCCTGAGGCTCTGGTGGAAGGTGTGTCCTCTGGGCCCTCTTGTAGAGCATGGTTTTGGTAGGCCTTCACCAAGCCCACTCCCCTCAGCTTGTTATTCCATCCTCTACATGTTCCAGGGCAACTAAGACATGTCTACCTTGTTGAGAGTTGGGCATGTTTTTTTCTAGACTATGTGGATACACCCCAGCAGTGGGTTTACTCCACTTATCAAAGTCCTGGAGTGTTTGATAAATCCATGCCCTGAGAAAGTGTCTTCAAGCCAAAGGATTATATTCATCCAGCCTGAAATTCTGGTTCCTTGATCAAACACCCTCAAATTCCAATCCCAGAAGTAGTCCCTGGGCTCCTATGGGGACGTGCTGGCTAGTTCCTGCAAACCTCCTGAGTGGGATTCCCGCGGCATCATAGGGGTGAGGATTGTGTAGCATCTTCCAGCAGTGAAAGTGGGAACCATTACTAGAGAAGGGTGAGCCTCCTCTGCATGCCCAGAAGATCCTGGAGGGCACGCATCGCATAATCCTGTTCCAGTTTGCAGAATCTCAGGTTTCCCCACCAAAGCCCTGACTTTCCTGTAACAGGCCTGCCTTGGCTGAGTGTCAAACATCTCTGGAGCACTGTGGCCCTCATAGTGATGTAGAGCTAACATTCCTTGCTATCTGCCCTTTTGCTACAGGAGATAAAGACCTGTCCATGAGACACTGCCGAGGGTGTCAAATGTAGCCAGTCATAGCTGTCAACAATCCGCAGATTCTCATTATCTTTTTACACAGCATCGATGCAGCTGAGAAGTAACTAGCCAAAGCCACTGTCTTTGTAGGTTTCTTCCAACCCTGTCCTTATTATGCAGGGCATTCTATCACTGCATGTGCCATAGCACTCCCTAACCAAGGCAACTTCTCAGCTCAGCACTGGTGAGACCCCCAGCTGCTCAGCTGCACCTTGTGCCATGGACTTTCTGTGTCTGCCACCAACCCGGGTGGCATCCTCTTGGCCTGCCAGGCAGTGGGAAGCTTATTTCAAATTCCCATTTTTGCCTGTTTTCATGGATCACCCTTCATGCCACTTGTGTTAGTTAGGGTCCCCTGAGAAGCGGACCCCAATACAGTAGTAAACATGTAAGGATTTATTAGGGGAAATACTTGTGAGAGAAATTCATGAGACAGAAAATGCTGGGAAAGCCACTGGACCACAAAGCAACTCTGAGCCTCAGTGATGTAGAGAGTGCAGGAAGGTCAGCTGGAAGCATCCTAGACCCTGTGCAGGCTAAGGGAAGTTCAGTAAGGGTGGCAGGGAGCCCTGGAGCTTCAGTCAGCCTTCAGAAGAGGAATGTCCTGCCTTAGTTTCTGCCCTACTTTCCTCAATCATTGGCTGGAAAAAGCCAGGGGTGGGCATAGTCTCAGAGCAAATGTGGCAATAGATTTCAGACTTCAAGAGCTGGGGCCATCATCAATTCTGCTTCTTCTAGATGAGGGGCTGGGATGTGCATTCTCATGACTGCCACAATGATCCAGTGGGGAGAGAGGAAAAAGGTTGACGATAAAGATAAAAATGGTATTAATTGATGAACTGACACCTTTAAGTAGATGATAAGGGATGGCAATTGGGGCACCAGAAGAGGGTCTGGCTCTGGCTGGGAGCAGAAGGGTTAACCCACAACAGTCCCTCACATGGTAAAACGCCTGACATGTGGTGCAGCTGCAAATGCATGAGCAGACAGTGGTGGAATCTGTGAAGTTGTCTTCTAATGTGTTCAGTTTTCTCAGTGAAGTGGGAAGCAAGGTCATCAGCTGAAGTAAGAATGGGGAAGGCAGGTTGGATGTGTGAGCACAAAGAAAAGGTGTGTAAGAGTCACCCAGGCCAGGAGGAGGCTGAGGGTGAGCCATGCAGGGAGAGGGTGATTGCTGGCCATGGTAGGGACTTCCTATGTGGTTTGGAATCCTAAATTTTAAGAGACCAGTCAGCGTACTGTGTGCTGCTCTCCAGCCTCCTGCAGCTCATGGGGGCAGGCTCAGCATAGGCAGAGGTGGAACCCACCAGCTGTGTAGTTTTGCCAGGTGAGTGTGACAATTCAAGGGAGAGGGAAGGGAGGGATGGAAATTATTTACCATAGAATTCAAAATGGGTGAGGAGGGAGGACAGGACACCCAGGGTGAGGGACAGTGAGTAGATGGCAGGATCACTGGATTGGGAATCCCAGGAGGGTGGAACGATTGTTGGAATTGATGTACTACAGGGTAGACTCCAAGCGTGGAAAGCAAGCACATATGCAATGAGTGGTCCACTGATATTACATCACAGCATATGATAAAATGATAGTATCTGTGTCCTCAGAGCCTGTGGCCACCTTGCAAGGGGATGAGTGGAAAGATGGTCAGAGAGTGGGTAGTGTGAGATAGAGAGTATGGAAGGGCTGGGGTTCTTAGCCATGATGAGGCCTAGGGGATAACAAGGGCATGAGATTCAGGCAGACAGGAGAAGATCATGGAGGAGAGGAGTTCCAGGATCTGAGAGGCCAGGAAGCGAGGGCATCTTCTCTGCTGTGTGGGTGTCTATTGCTGCCATAAAAATTACCACAAACCAAATGGCTTTAAACAGCACCTATGTATCATGGCACAGTCGTGTGGATTGCAAGTCCACCCAGTCTCATGGGGCTAAGATCAACATACGGGAAGGTCTGCATTCCTTTCCATAGACTCTGGGGAAGAATCCACTTCCAAGCTCATTCAGGTTCTTGCCTGAATTCACTTCCTTGCAGATAGAAAAGAGGTTTCCACTTCCTTGTTAAGAGCCACCCTTAGCTCCTAGAGCCTTCTCTCAGATACTCACACACGGTGCCTAAGGCACATTCAATCCTCCTGCTTGGAACTTCTGACCTCTCCTCTCCAGCTTCTCCTCTGCCTTCCTCCTCTGCAGAATCTGACTCCAACCAGGGCAGGCTCTCTGCTTTTAATGGCTCTTGTGATTTGATTGGGCCCACACAGAGAGTCCAGCAGAATCTCCCTATTTTAAGGTCCTTAATCTTCATTACATGAGTAATATCCCTTTTGCCACGCAATGCAACCTGTTCACAGGTTCCAACGATTAAGACTGGACATCTTTGGGGACCATTACTCAGCCCACCACATCTGCGTATGTTGAAGTCACCAAGAGTCAAGGAGACAGCAATGCTGGAGAGGGTGACAGTGAACCAGGAGCTACAAGACTCAGGATTGAGAAGAACAGCCTGGGGCCCACAGGGAATGGTTACAGTGAGGCAAATGGGGCTCTAATCTGATGACAGCCTAGGGGTTTTAGGGAGGAGGGAGGCAGAAAGTTCTGAGAACCACAATGAGGAGCAAGGACCCCACCTCACCTCTGAACCCAGGGGTACAAGTCCCTGGGGAAACTCCCCCATGTGGGAGGACTTCGGAGGGGGTCATGTCCTCAGGGAGACCCAGGTTGCTGCTGGAGCTGTGAGATGCAGGAACATCCTGAGAGAGGCTGAGGAGGTTTTGCTGATGTGGACTGAGAAATCCAGGGGGTGCACTGGGAAGATTTCTGTGGCTGGGGAGGTCGGGGAGACAGAATAGAGGTGTGCAGAGCCTTGTGGGGATGCAAGTGCAGAGTATGTGGGGGACCCAGTGTGACTGACACAAACAGGGACAGAGCATGATGAGCTCAGTCCAGGTGCACTCCAGGCCGACGATGGTGCTGAGCCTGTGGGGGATGCGGGAGGAGGAGCAGGGGTGGCTTTCACCTGGGCTCTGTCCATGGAGGTGAGGACAGTGAGGTGGTTGGGTCTTAGTGCTGTGGGGAACTTTTCTTGACCTCCTGATGACTGGATGGAGTGTCTGAGGGAGGAAGGGTCTTACAGGATTGACTCATGACCCTGAGGGATGTGCTCACTCCAGGTCTCAGGTCTGTCCTGACACCTTTATTTGTGGCTTAGAGCTCCCTACTGTAAATTATTGGGAGTTAGTTCATTTTGGAGTTTATAACTTAAAGCAGAAATTCAGATGGTTGAAATGTCATTTTCATGAAGGTTTGTTATTAGTGTATCATTTAGATTGTTTTGCAACAGTCTCATTTTTTTTCTAAAGGGTTGCCAATCTTGTTTTAAATTTACAAAGGTTGTTAATTTATCTTCACTGTTAATTGGTTGTGGGTTGTTTAAACTTATACTGTGTAGTTTTACATATCTGTAACAGCAGTAGTTTGGGCCTCTTATATTCTAATAATTAAGACTTTCAGCTGAGTACACACTGTAATTCAAGCACGAGTCATGCATAACCCTAGCACTAAGAGACAAGAGGGGAATCCCTCTCTCTGAAAATTTTGCAAAATTCTGGGTTCTTTTTCCACTGAGTGGGCACAAGTCGGCTAATCATGAACATGAGGTATTTGTCCTCATTTAAAGGTGCTTCAGAAGCACTGACCCCTAGGAAGGCCTCCTTGTCTGGGTCAGGCACCCTACACCATGGCAGAGGCCATCTTCCCTCCCAGTGTACAGTGATATCCCAGATAGCTTACTGGTTAGCTGCTGTCCACTCTTGGGCAGTTTTGTCTTCTAAAACATGGGTTTTTATCTGAGAATCTTCCTGTTCCCAGATGATCAAAACTGGGGCCATCCATTCCATTCTGAGCCACTTCTGCCCAGGGGCCCATTGCTATTTCCTCCAGTCACAACAGAACACCCCTTCAGAACAGCCTGCAGGAAGGCCCCGTCTCCTCACAGGCTCACACATGCACGGTGTGTGCACAGAGCTTTTGCTCTAGTTCAGGAGGTGTGTGGGGAGCCTCACTAGTCCAACAGAGCTTGGTACCAGTGTCATATGCCAGGAACCAAGGTTATAAGGGATACAATGTCCCCAGACCTACCAGAGAAGGCAAACTCATACAGCTTGCAGGACCAGACAAGGACAAGAACAAGTTCAAAAGAGGGAAAGGGAAATTATAGACATACCTCAGAGATACTGCAGATTTGGTTTCAGACCATGGCAACAAACAAGTCACACAAATTTTTGTTTTTCCAGTACATATAAAAGTTATATTCACACTCTACTGTAGCCTAGTAAGTGTACAATAGCATTATGTATGAAAGAACTATGTACATACCTTAATTTAAAATTACTCTATTGCTAAAAAATGCTAACGGTCGTCTGAGGCTTCAGCTAATTTTAATCTTTTTGCTGGAGGAGGGTCTTGCCTCAATGTTGATGACTACCGGCTGTTCAAGAGGGTGGTTGCTAAAGGCTGCTGTGGCAATTTCTTAAAATAAGACAATGAAGTTTATGGCATGGATTATAAAGGGGGAATCAGTACTTAAGTAAGGTCAATATGAGTTTTCAAGTCAGGTGGACTTGAATATGAACCCTCCAGGCCTTTCCACCAACTAGCTATAGAGCCTTGGGCACATCTGGCCCAGAGCTGGCCCCGACAGACACTTGCCCAGTGGGTGAGTGCTCAATGAACCCATCTGAGCCAATTGTCTCATCCAACCAGTGATATAATTCCTTCCTTGCAGAAGAATAAGTGAGAAAAGACACAGTGCCAAGAAATTCAGACACAAGACCTGCGGAAGTCTGCGCCAGTGCTCTAAAGCAAGTTCTGCCTAAAGCGGCAGAAACATTTTTCACATTAGGAACAGGAGTTGTTTGGGATCCTGTCTGGGGCCAGGTTGAGAGCAGAGTGGGAGTGGGGGCCTGGGCAGGACCAGGCACTGGAGTGAAGACAGGCCTGGAGAGAGCTGACTCCTGGAGGCTGCTGAGCGGCTCAGACAGCTCCTTGCCTCACCTGCCACAGTCCTCCCTCTCCCCTGGCCTCCAAGTACCCGGGAGTGCGAGCCTGGGCCCCGGGAACCGGCACCTTGAGGGCTGGAGAGGGACCCCGCCCGCTCCCTGTCTCCCTGACGCGCTCTCTCCGCCTCCCCGCGGGTACCCAGCCTCCCGGGCTCCCTCCTGCCTACCGCCCGGCCCTGGAGCCGCTTACCTGGGAGCTTCTTACGGTGTAGGGGGAGCTGGGGAGGGGACAGAGGGACAGGGACCACGGGAGGGTGGCGTGGGGCGGCGTACTTGGAGATATGACCTGAGGAGTCTGCAGACCCCAGACCGGGGCAGAAGAGCCGTGGGAGGAGCTGCTGAGCTCTCCAGGCCGCCCTTTACCTCCTGCCTCCCCAGCCCAGTTCATCTTGATCCTCTCCTCACTAGCCCAGGTCTCCCCAAGGTCAGGGCTCATAGAGCAGCAGGAGTTGGGTTCCGGGACGCGGGATCCGGCTTCTCTGGGAATCTTGGATTCCAGGAAGGATCCTGGAGATCTCCCACTTTATGAAGCCCAATCTCCACTCACTGTGATGGCGTCTTTAGACCCCACTGGAAACCAGATACGACGCCCTCATCGGCCCTGGGGAAAAAACAAGAGCAAAGTATGAGAGGTGGCCATGAGGTCAGGGAAACTCCTGCAGAATTCTCAGGAAAGGAAACTCTTCCGAGCTGGGCCCTTGGCTTAGTTTGTCTTCCCTGCCCAGCCACCTGTCCCAGAGCTGGAGACGCCCAGGTTTAAGCCAGAGATTTTGGATACTTTCCTTGATGGTGACATAATTTTTGTCTTCTCTCCTGGAAGAGAAGCCCCAGAACCATCAGAGTGATCCAGTCTGCCCACTCTTCTTATTATTCTGTCTCTCCAATCACTCTCCCTGAGCTGGACTCTCCACCCACCCTCACATTCTGGATAGTGCAGAGATGTGAGCATGGCCCTGGGGCAGGATTGTCTGCGTGCAAGCCCAGCTCCACCACGACTTGTAGGCGACCTTCTTTCCTATTGTATCACCTGAAAACGGAAAATTAGCAGGCACACCCCATAGATGTATCGTGACAATTAAATGAATTCATATTTTGAAAGTGCTAAGGACACGGATTAACACATAGCACCATGACAGTGTATGATATTATCGCTGTTGGTTTTTTTTTTTTTTTTTTTTTTTTTAGATGGAGTTTTGCTCTCGTTGCCCATGCTGGAGTGCAGTGGCACCATCTCGGCTCACTGCAACCTCCACCTCCTGAGTTCAAGCGATTCTCCTGCCTCAGCCTCCAGAGTAGCTGGGATTACAGGCGCCCGCTACTACACCCAGCTAATTTTTTGTATTTTTAGTAGAAACGGAGTTTCCCCATGTTGGGCAGTCTGGTCTTGAACTCCTGACCTCAGGTGATCCACCCTCTCCGGCCTCCCAAAGTGCTGGGATTACAGGTGTGAGCCACCATGCCCCGCCGTTGTTGCTATTTCTTTCATCCTTTTTGCTTGAGCCTCTTCTCTTCTTTCTAGGTTCCCAGGGAAATTCTCTGTTGGAAGATTATGCCTGCAAGAGGCCTCCACCTGGGAAATGCTGGCCCATGGGGGGATCTCCCTTTTATTAAATGGAATGATTGTTGGTGAAGTGACAGCTAGTGAGCCAGTGACAGTACGGTTCATGTAAAAAAGACCACATACCTAGGATTACCTCCATTTTAATAAAGACACATCCCACACATTATAAGTCCAATGTGATTTGTGAGGAGATTGCTTTGATTTGCTCACGAAAAATATTACTCTACTTTCTTTGAGAGAGTTTTGCAACACATTTCAAATCTCTGCTTCTCATTTCACACTATCTGGCTCATGAGTGAAGGTGATAAGTGTCGTACTATGCTCTCAGGTTTGTCTGTCAGAGTCATAGTCATGTATTACACATAAAGATTATTTTCTTGTTATCATTTATTTATATATATTATACTCATGGGATATAGATAGATATTATTACAGTGCTTAAATGGCTACTACTGATATCTATACATTTTCTCTCTTGGTATATGATATTAACACATAGAATTGTATACTGTTACTTTGGTTTCCAGCAATTGCTGATTAGGTCATTTGGACCACTTCTCCCATTGAGTACAACTGGAAAAATGGGAGGAAAATACATATTTGAAAAGTCTGGTTGAATTTATAGATGGGCTAGCAAAGCAGTGAAGATTTGCTTGGCCAGGAACCAGGAAGAGGCAGAAATCCAGAAGAGCATCTTGAGCTATGGGGCTGCTTTTTTGGATCAGATGCAGTGACACCTGCCTCCCAGGCAAGAAGCCAACTTCTGGGATTCAGAACTAAAGTGTCCCAATATTTAGAAGGTCTCTTGGTCTCTCTAGAGTTCAGTGCTCATTGGCCAGGGCTATGATACTCACACTCATTCCTTGGAGGAGCCAAGCTTCGGGTTTGGCTGCCTCTGGGACATTTCATGCTAGAAAAACCCCAACATGTGTAGATAAATGGTATAGAGGACACCAGCCACCCTTCGATGGAGCTCTGCCCAGTAGTGTCCCCTCCCTTCCACTCAGAGACAACATGCCCATTTCACTAAATTCATGAGGACATGGCCAACATAAGTAAGAGAACACCGGGAGGTACCTGGGACAGAGTTCCATGCAGTCACAGCTTTTGCGTCTCTGTGTCTTTTCCCTTCATCTCAACCAGAGAGCATTTGCCGAGGCCGAAGAACAAAAAACTTCAAATATTGGAGCGGAATCTAAGACCACTGATCCATTGTGATCAGGAGGCTGGAGCCATGTGGTCCAGGAATAATGAAGTCTGTGAGGCCTTGGTCACCCCAAGGCTCTCTCCCATTAGGAGCTGCCTCTCACTGCTATCAGGGAGGACCCAGGAGCTGGACATGGCTTTTTTTTTTTTTTTTTTTCATTTCTGATGAGAACCTGGAGAGGTCCCAGAGCATATAGACCTTGATTGAAATGGGGCCAGAGTGGAGTCAGGCAAAAAACTCTAATGACTCAGAGGCACCTAAGTATAAAATAAAATCTCAACTCAGAGCTTCCATCAGAGCATCAGGCTCAGTATCTCCTGTGTTTGCACTGTGAGTACTGGAGCTTGATGAGAAGAAAAATAGCTACATGTGCAGAAAAACATATGTAGTTAGAAAGCTGGGTCATGGTTCAAGGTAAGAGGGACCCTTGTCTTTTCCGTGGTAGATAGTGGGGCTTTCTGCCATCTTAGTTCTGATGGACCAAGTGCAGAAGATAAACTTTCCTGCTTTCAGCTTAGTGACTGGTAATAGAAGCTGGAGTTAAGAGAATCAGTGGCAGCCTCTCTCTCCATGCCCCAGCCCAGTAAATCTAAGCCAGGACTTGGGGCTCTGGCACTTTCTTCTCACTGTGCGTCCTCCTTCTCTGGCTCAAAAGAGAACCACATGTAACAGAAACCAAGGGCTACAATTCTCACAGAACCCAGAAAACTGGACTAGGGGCCTAGAGAGTCATGTGCCTGCCATTGTTCCACCGCTTACGTGCTGTGTGACCTCAGGAGAAGCTCTCTGCTCTTTGAATCATCTGTGAATCATGGACAAACACCTCCATGCTAGCAACATTACTGAAATGCAGGGAGGAACAAGTGATTCAATTGGGAGGAAAAAAAACAAAGTGATGACATTTACTCCTAGACAAAACTTTTTAGGAAAATGTATCTTAAAAGTAGGAGAAAAACATATAATACCTGCAATCCCCTGCAAAAGAAGCCTCTTTAGCTTACTACTTGTTCATCGTCTTTCTGTGAAATTTGGGCAAAACTAGCTCCCTCATTATCTCAAATAAATTAATGCAGTTGGCGATTCTATGTCAGTTTAGGTCTACAACTTTTGCTTTGTGTGAAACTGAAAGGGAATGGGAACATCTTCATTTTTCTGTGGTGGCCAGGGGACACTCAGAGGCTTGGAAATGACCCTATATCATCTATTTTCAATTGCCTCACTCTATCTTTTGAAATCTCAGGTAATTCATACTCCTAAAAAAATCTCATGTTCATACATAGGACAAGGTAGAAAAGGTAATATTCCTGTTTTAATTTGCTAGGGCTGCCATAACAAAGTACCAAAGGCTGGGTGACTTAAATAATAAATATGTGTTGTCTCACAGTTCCAGAGGCCACAGGTGCAAGGTCAAGGTGCTGCAGGGTTGATCTCTTCTGAGGCCTCTTTCCTTTGCTTGTAGATGGCCACTTCTTCTGCCTTCTCAACATAGGGCTTCAACATGTGGATTTTGGTGGCGTAGGAACACAATTCCTCTTGTAACAGTCTGGATCGTCTTTGACAATGGATGTTCTAAAAAATAAAAGAGAGTAATAGACAGTACAACCCTTTGGCTGAAATCTTTCTCTTGGTTTTCTAAAATTTTGGTCTTGCAATAGAAAAAACAAGAAAGAGAACCAAAGTTTAGTTCTTCCCGGAAGGTGAGGCCTCCTCCCTAAGTCTGTGTAATCCCAGACACTAAGACATGGTGCTGTGCAGTTCTCCAAAGTCCTACTCACTCCAGTGATTCTGTTTCTGTCTTTTTAACTGAGCAGAAGAGTCTCTTTCAGGAGAGCAACTTCTTCTGATGCTTTATGGGCTTTATTCTCCTTAAACTTATGGAATGAAAAAGATCTTAATAAAAAGGAAAATATTTGCCAAATTTTTATCATGCTCATAATTTTTGTACCTTTTTAAATGCCCCATATTGTGTTGTTTATTTTTTAAATTTTTTAAAATTGGTACATAATATTTGTACATATTTATGGGATACATGTGACATTTTGATACATGCATAGAATGTGTGTATCAGTCAAGATATTTAGGGTATCCATGACCTCAAGCATTTATCATTTCTTTCTGTTGAGAACATTTTAAATTCACTCTTTTTTGTTTTGTTTTGTTTTTTGAGATGGAGTCTCACACCATCACCCAGACTGGAGTGCAGTGGCACGATCTCGGCTCACTGCAAGCTTCGCCTCCCGGGTTCACACCATTCTCCTGCCTCAGCCTCCCGAGTAGCTGGGACTACAGGCACCCACCACCACGCCCGGCTAATTTTTTTTTTTTTTTTGTATTTTTAGTAGAGACGGGGTTTCACCATGTTAGCCAGGATGGTCTCGATCTCCTGACCTCATGATCCACCCTCCTCGGCCTCCCAAAGTGCTGGGATCACAGGCATGAGCCACCACGCCCAGCCAAATCCACTCTTATAGCTATTTTGAAATATACATTTTTGTTAACTTTAGTCAGTCTGCTGTGCTATCAAACATTAGAACTTATTTTCTCTATATAATTGGACATTTGCATCCATTAACCTGCATCTCTATATTTTCCCACCCCTACATTCTTCCCAGTTTCTGGGAACTGTCATTCTACTCTCTCTACCTCCCTAAGATTAACCTTTTTGGCTCGCACATATTAGTGACAACATGTGGTATTTGTCTTTCCTTGCTTGGCTTATTTCACCTAACGTAATGACCTTTGGTTACATCCATGTTTCTGCAACTGACAGGATTTCATTCTTTTTTATGGCTGAATTGCATTCCATTGTGTATATATATACCACCATTTATTCATTCACCCATTGATGAATTCACCCATTGATTTCATAACTTCGCTACTGTGAATAGTGCTTCAATAAACCTGGGGGTGCAGGTAGTCTTTTGATATATTGATTTCTTTTCCTTTATATAAATACCCATGAGTGGAGTTGTTGGATCCAATAGTAGTTCTATTTTTTGTTTTTTGAGAAATCATTATACTGATTTCCATAATTGCTGTACTTACTTTCCCAAGAGTGTACAACAGTTCCCATTTCTCCACATGCTCACCACTATCCATTATTTTTTATTTCCTATTAGTAGCCATTCTAAATAGGATAAGATGATATTTCATTATAGTTTTGATTTGCATTTTCCTGATATTTAATAAGGTTGAGTGTTTTTCGTATACCTGTTGACCATTTGTATGTCTCCTTTTGAGAAACATCTATTCAGACACTTTATCCATTTTTTAATTGGATTATTTGTGTTTTTACTGCTGAGTTTTTTAAGTTCCTTGTATATTCTAGATGTTAGTTCCTTGCTGGATGAATACATAGCAAATATTTTCTCTATTCAACAGGTTGCCTCTTCATTCTGTTGATTGTTTCATTTGCTGTGCTGAAGCTATTTAGTTTAATATAGTCCCACTTGTCTATTTTATTTTTGTTGCCTGTGCTTTTGAGGTCTTAGCCATAAAGTCTTTGCCCAGACCCATGTCTGGAGTGTTTCCTGTAAGCATTCTTCTAGTAGTTTTATAGTTTTGGGACTTACATTTAAATCTTTAATCCATTTTGAGTTGATTTCTGTATATGGTGGGAGACAGGGTTCTAGTGGTATTCTTCTGCATCTGGTAGCATTTTCCCAGCTCCATTTATTCTCCATTGTTGCTTTTGTTCTTTCTCCATTGTATATTCTTTACCAAAAATGAGTTGGCTATCAATGCATGGATTTATTGTGAGTTCTCTTTTGTATTCCATTAGTCTATGCGTCTGTTTTTATGCCAGCACCATGCTGATTTGGTTACTATAACTTTATATTGTATTCTGAATTCAGGAAGTGTGATACCTCTAGCTTTGTTCTTCTTGCTCACGATTGCTTTGGCTATTTGGGATATTTTATGATTCCATATGAATTTCATAATTTTTTCTATTTCTGTGAATAATGATATTGGTATTTTGATAGGGATTGAATTGAATCTGTAAATTGCTTTGGGTAGTATGAACATTTTAACAATATTCTCCCAATTTATGTGCATGAAATTTATGTGTTTCATTTTTTAAATTAATATTTAACAATATTAATTCTCCCAATTTGTGTGTTTTATTTTTTTTCCTTAGAGACAAGGTCTCACTATGTTTCCCAGGCTAGTCTTGAACTCCCAGGCTCAAACAATTCTCCTGTCTCATCATCCCAAAGTGCCAGGATTACAGGTATGTGCCACTGCGCCTGGCTCTTCCAGTTTTGTGTACTCTTCAATTTCCTTCATCAGTGCCTTATAGTTTTTGTTTTACTTCCTGGGGTAAATTGATTCTTAGTTATTTTATCCTCTTTATGATTTGTAAATAGTTTTGCTTTCTTGATTTCTTCTTCAGATTATATGGTGCTTGTATATATAAATGCTCTGAAAGTTTGCACATTGATTTTGTATCCTGTAATTTTACTGAATTTGCTTATTAGTTCTCACCATTTATTTGGTGGAATATTTAGATTTTTCTTTCTTTCTTTTTTTTTCTTTTTTTGAGATGGAGTCTCGCTCTGTCATCCAGGCTGGAGTGCAGTGGCGCGATCTCGGCTCACTGCAAGCTCCACCTCCTGGGTTCACGCCATTCTCCTGTCTCAGCCTCCTGAGTAGCTGGGACTACAGGCGCCCGCCACCACGACCAGCTAATTTTTTTTTTTTTTTTTTTTTTTTGTATTTTTAGTAGAGACGGGGTTTCACAATTTTAGCCAGGATGGTCTCGATCTCCTGACCTCGTGATCCGCCTGCCTTGGCCTCCCAAAGTGCTGGGATTACAGGCGTGAGCCACCGCACCCGGCCAATATTTAGTTTTTTCTGAGTAAAAGATTATGCCATTTGCGAATAAGGCTAAGTTGGCTTTCTCCTTTCCAATTTGGATGCCCTTTATTTCCTCCTCTTGGCTGATTGCTCTTGCTAGGACTTCTAGTGCTGTGTAGAATAAAAGTGATGAAAGTGGGAGTCTTAGCCTTCTTCCAGATCTTGGAGGAGAGGCTATAAGCTTGTCCCTATTCAGTATAATGTTAGCTGTGTGTTTGCCATATATGGACATATCATGGTGTATTATTCTTTTGGTATACTGTTGGATTTTGTTGCTAATATTTTTAATTATTATTTTTATCAGCAACTTTATAATTTTTATTATAAGCTTTTTAAGCTTATAAAATGTACATATACCAAAATAATCAGATCTTCATCAAATTTATCAATGAATTTTGACCAATACAGCATATTACTCTTGCCACTATCAATGTACATAAAGATCCCTTTTTCTCCCTTCAACTCAGCTTCCATGCCTCCAGCAGCCATTGATCTGACGGCTGTCAGGATAGCACAGTTCTTCCTGTTTTAAAACTTCATACAAATCTACTCATCCCATATGGCCTCCCTTGTATCTGGCTTTTTGCGCTTGTTGTAATACCTATGTGATCAATCCATGTTGGTGCACGTATCAGTAGTTCTTTCATTTTCATTGCTGATAATATTCCATTGTATGACTGAATCATGATTTTTGTACATTGGCAGTTATTTCTTGTTTTTTACTATTATAAATAAAGAAACTATGAACATTTTTATGCAGGGATTATCGACAAAATCTTCATTTCTCTTGAGTATATACCTAGGAGTGGAAATGGTAGCTGTAGAGGACTAGCTTGTTTAACTTTATTAGATGATATGAAATTGATTTTCAAAATGGATGTTTTATATTCCTATAGGCAATGGAGGAGAGTACAGATTGTTCCACATCCTTGCTAGCATTTATAGTTATTAATCATTTTAATTTTAGCCATTCTAATGGTTGCTTAGTGGTTTCTCACTGTGGTTTTACTTTGCATTTTTCCCTGAACTGGCCATTCATATATCTTCTTTTGCAATGTTTCAGATTTCTCTACAGATTGTGGAAGGTGCTAAATAAAGATGAGTCCTCTTTCTCTAGTGCTGGACCTAAAGCAGAATGTTCAGAGTCCCTCCACATATCCCAATCCAGCCAACCACATACCATGTTTGCCTCCAGAAGCTCCTACTCCTTCATCCGTCTTTCACGGTCTATCACTTCATTCTGGCTTAAGCTCACACTCCTCCAGGAAGTCAGTTACTGTGAAGGTCACTAACATGCTCAGTATTGTCATGTCTCCACCTGTCTTTACTTCTCTGTAGCTTTCCTCACACTCAACGACTCCTTTTTATTTTGCTCAATTTCTGTGGATTCACTTCACAAATTTTATTATAAGGTAGTTCTAGCTAGAAGAAAAAATAGAGAATTATAAGAAATCTTTGTGAAGCTGCCACCCAGGTTTGTCAATTTGTGACATTTTAATATTATTGGCTGTATGTAGTATACATAGAAAATAACAGAAACACGTGTAGATAGCCCTGATTTTCCACAGTTCTGTTATGCATGTGTTTCAGTCAATACTGTACTGAGCAAAGCAAGAACTGTTGGTGAATGTGTGTCTTGAATTTGCTGTATGCCCCTATATTCTTACTAAGTTTTAAAAAGTCTCTTGTTTTTGTTTGTTTGTTTGTTTGTTTTTAACATGGTTTCACTTTGTCACCTGGACTGAAATGCAGTGGCACAAACACAACTCACTTCAGCCTCTACCTGCCAGGCTTAAGCAATTCCTCCCTTCTAGGCCTCTTGAGTAGCTGGGACTAGAGGTTCGCGCCACCATGCCTGGCTAATTTCTGTATTTTTTGTAGAGAAAGGGATTTATCATGTTTCCCAGACTTGTCTGGAACGCCTGGGGTCAAGCAATCTGCCCACCTTGGCCTCCCAAGATGCTAGGATTATGGGTATAGGCCCCCTTGCCTGGCTTTACTTTTAGACTTTTTATAAATTGTTTCTTGCTGATTTTGTTATGCATTTGCTTGCTTTTTCCGTTAACATGGTCTATGAGAGGGATCAATGTTCACACAAATAGTTCATTTGTTTTCATTGCTAGATAGTATTCCATGGGAGGAATATGCTACAATTTATCTCTTCCCCACTTCATTGACCTCTACATAGTCTTTATTAAAGACACTGCTGCAATGAACATGCTGGGACATTGTTTTCTGGTTCCAAGAATATGTGAGCTCCCCTAGGATATGCATGTAAGAGTGGGGTCACTGCACCCTTCCCATATGATGCTACATGATGTCAAATTGTTCTCTGAAAGAAATAATCCAAATGTCTATCAGTAGGGAGCTGGTTAAAAAGCATTGCATTCAAAAAGGGTAATCTCTATTTTAAAAAATGCATGCCTATACAATGGATTGCCAAGAAATTTTTGAACAAAAAAAAGAAAGACATAGTGTAGTTCTTGATATTTCTTCATGGGATGGTCTCCGTGATACAATGGTAAGGGAAAACAGCAAGGTACAGAAAAGCATATGTAGTTTGCTAAAATTTGTGTGCAAAGGGAGAAAGAACATACACATATACATTTATATTTGCTTGCACAGTCACAAAATACCTTTGAAAGAATAAGCACTGCCTGATGAGTTTGGAGTGAGAGATGGTCAGGATGATTTCCCGCACAGTCAGGTTGTTTGAAGGGAGGGGAAAAGAGCAAGCAGCAAGTTTTGTGTTTCTGCAAAGACAGAGACAGTGCAGGAGACACTGAGAGCCTGGAGTGTCCGGGAAACCCGAGTCTTTCTGCCATTTCCCCACTTCTGTGTATCTGGCAGGGGGTGGTGATTTCTCATCCTTGAACCTAATTGCACTGTCAGTTGGCCCCTCAGGCCTGGGCAGATGGGATGGTTAATCCCCTGCCCTGCAGCAAGAGGGCCCTGTCCAGGAGGCACCCACAGCAGGGGCAGTGCAGGTCTGTGGTCGCTCCTGCTCTCACCTGTGGTGTCTCCTGAAGAGGGATTGTCAGTTCTGGTTCCCCGTGGGCGGGAACGGTTGCCTTGTAGGTTACTGGGGCACTGGCCAGGAAAGGGGTGTGAAAGTTATGTGCTAATTTCTCAAAATTCCTGCTTTAAATGCTGATGTCCAATAAAGATGTTCGTAGTTTCAGCTGGGTCTTAAAAGGATTTCCACCAATACTAATGTTGTAACCTATATCAAATGAAACAGGAACTCAAATGTGGAGCTCCCTCTCCAGGACGGTCCATGTGGGAGACAGTGGCTGTGGCAGTGGCAATCCCCAAGTGCAAAGGGTGGGCAGAGGCAGCCTCAGGCTGAGGGGTCTCAAGAAACTTTCTACTCCACAGGGAGAAGAAGATCCCCTATGGGCTGTGAGGGCAGTGGCTTGGGTGGAATCCCTGCTAGGAATCCCTGCTAGGAACAGGAGAGGAAGGCCTTTCAGCCTCCCCAAGCAGCAGCCCTGGGGAGAAGCTGTGCTTCCAGGGATGAGTGGACCAGGCTGGAGCAAGCATGGCCCAAGTGCAGGTCATGGGCCTGGGGGTCAGGGTAGGCTCCTTGAGCAAGGGGGTTCCCAGGGTCAGGTCAGCTGCAGACCCCATAGCAGCTACATGTTTCCATGCTGGGCCTGCCATGCTGATGGGATTCTTAATGGGCTTCCCAGTTAGGAGCTGCCTGCTCAGGGCTGGAAGTGGAGGAGCACTGAGCTGCAGGTGGAGGGCAGAACCACAGTGTTTAGGGCCTGCCTTTGTGTGCAGGTGTCTCTACAGGTGAGGTGGGACTGGGGACTGAGGAAGAGAAGGACTGTGCGTGTGACCCAGCCCAGTCCTGGAAGGACATGGAGCCAGGGCCAGAGCCTCTCTTTGGGGAGTCCTCCTGCTGTCAGAGCTGGCCAGGCTTGAGAGGAGGGGAGGGCACTGGGTTTTTCCCAGGTCTTGTCCTTTGGTCCTGGGGCTCTTTTCCTCCTTGCATGGTGGCTGGTGGGCACAGGGCAGGGGCTGATGTTGATGGAGTCACGGGAGGGGACTGGCAGGGGCTGGGAAAAGTGCCATGGGAGGGAGAAAAAAGTGCAGACATCATCTTCCCTCGGAGAAAGGGTGAATCTGATTTGGGACTGACTGAGGAGGGAGAAGTCGTCAGGGAGTAAAAAGCAGCACTGTGCACCCAGGGGAGCACTTACTATTTTCTCTCTTTTCTCCAGAGCACATGAGCCTGCAAGGCCCAGATCAACACCTGACTCAGACAGAACACCAGGGCAGTGCACAGCTGGGATTTCAGTCTCTGCTCTCAGCTCCCAGGTCCACTGGCTCTACTGAGGGCACCTACACTCTGCAGCCAGGCGGCCTGGATTGAACGCCCTGCCCAGGTCTCACCAGCACTTTTTCTCTTGCTGGCTCAGCTTTCTCATCTATGAAATAGGGAATGTAACAACATTTATTTCTTGTGGTTGGGTGGATGAAAAGTGTTAGTATATATGAGGTGTTTGCAGCTGTGCCATATTATTTTTGTTATTTTGTTATGATTTTATTATATTTTAATACATTAATGTCATGTAGTTGTATTATCACAGGTGAGCTTTATGAGTGAGTGTCCTGGTGACGGCTCCTCCGGGGAGCCAAGGACCAACTTTCCTGGCACGTTGAGGTCCCCTCGCCCTGTCACACTCTCCTGCATTACCCCATTCTACTCTGTCTTCATATTTTATACTATAGATATTTAGCTTTTAAATAGACATTTCTGGTCTGTGTTTTATTTCAAGTGTCTGGGAACAGATAGAGTTGAGGTTCAAGGGAGAATGAGAGCTCTGTCTAGATGCGTTGACATAGCACAAAGAAATCTCCCCTCCTCCCTGATATCTCCCCGCCAGTTCTCAGGGAAGGACAGATTCAGAGCAACACAGACAGGTCTGGAAAGGGATGGGGGGACATCTGAAGCAAATGTTCAGGGCCTGAAGCTGTGAGAGTACACCTGCCCTACAGAGTTGGAGCCCTCATGTGATGATGCAGAGCTGAAGTGTTATATTCTGGAGGGGATAAAAAGTGCTCTGGGGTTTCCTGATTATGAAGGGTAGGGGTCAGTCTGCTTCTAGGAGATGTGGACTGAATTAGTGAAAAATAAATGCACAGGGAATGAGGATGAGTAAAGCAAGCATCAGCATCTCCCGCCATCAGTTCAGACTGATTCGGAGGTGGGGAGGTGGGATAGTTCCTGACCCTGTTGCAAGGTTTCTTTTGACTTTCTGGTTTTGGGGCACATAGATGGCTGGTGCTCTTCTTGGTCAGGGCGGCCTCAGCTCCACCCAGGTAAGGCAGTGGTGGCAGAGAGTTAGGGGAGCACCTATGAAACAGACCAAGGCAGGGATGGGAGCCCTTGGTGCAGCAGGAGTGCATGCAGGACTTGCCTGGAAGCAAGAGTATTAGGGACCCTAGTCAGGTCCTGGTCCCCTCCCTGCCTAGGCTCACAGGACAACCAGTAAAGATGCTGGAGTGGGGAATTCATTCATGGGCTATCTATCCAGAGTTGTTTATAGACATATTCTTTCAAGTTTGTATTCAGGGTTGATGTCACATACACATTTATACATGCTGTTTTATGTTTAAGTGTTTTTTTTTTTTTTTTTTTTTTTTTTTTTTTTTTTGAGACGGAGTCTCGCTCTGTCGCCCAGGTCGGACTGCGGACTGCAGTGGCGCAATCTCGGCTCACTGCAAGCTCCGCTTCCCGGGTTCACGCCATTCTCCTGCCTCAGCCTCCCGAGTAGCTGGGACTACAGGCGCCCGCCACCGCGCCCGGCTAATTTTTTGTATTTTTAGTAGAGACGGGGTTTCACCTTGTTAGCCAGGATGGTCTCGATCTCCTGACCTCATGATCCACCCGCCTCGGCCTCCCAAAGTGCTGGGATTACAGGCGTGAGCCACATGTTTAAGTGTTTTTATATTTTGGTTAGCCCTTTATCATTGTTAAACAAAGTTGTCATTAGGCATAAACTTGCATGTTAACTGAAGCTTTTGTTTTTATTTTATTCGAAGTTACAATTGCACATAATGGAAAGAGTAAATATTTGTGCAGGACTTTCTGAGAAAAATGAGAGTCTTCTCTGCCTTTCTAGGGAGAGTCCTCTCTTCTCTATTTCTGCCTTTCTAGGGAGCAACCACTTTCAAGTTTCAGCTGATTCTTTTGACTTTACTTTCACATATCTAAGCACCAAAGCACCATTTCTTTATTAACATTGCTTGATTTTTCAGTTGCAGCCATTGACTATTGCACTGCACGATGGTGGAATCAATAGTTAAGATTACTTGTTCTCTTTCTTTTTGTATTTTTTTCTTATTTTTTAATTTATTTAAATAAATAAAAATATTCTACCTCCCCAAAACCCCTCAGGACCCACACACAGGCACTGCAGCAGCGACAGGAGGAGGGGGCGCTGGGAACAGGAAGGACACCACCGCTTGGCCTCCGGCACCGGAGGGACAACCTGGAGGGCTCCGGGAGCACCGCAAAGGTCCAAGCGGAGCCAATCCTCACAAGCCCAGGGAAGGGCAACGTGACAGGCCGGCGCGACAGCCCCACCGCCGCGAAGAGGGGCTGCCCAAAAGGCAACAGCCATAGGAGATGAGCAGGGGTGCCTACTGCGTCGGAGAACTCATCTCCCCAACCCCACCGATGCCACAAGGTAGAGGGCGAGGACAGCGAGGTCGGCCGGATTCCGCACCCCTGCCTCCAACCACCGCCCATGGGCGGGGAGGAGAGACTACCGGCCGCAAGCAGAACGCAGAACGAGAAGAGCGGTCCCGTTAGCCATGAATGTGTCCCTCATCTGTACCGCCTCCGGCCCCGCCCGGGAGAACGCGACGTCACCACATCCATCACTTGTTCTCTTTCACTCTTCCCGTTCTTTCCTTTTCCCAGTATATTTATATAGTAATTATGTTTAATTCAGCCACTCCTTGTTTTTTTCCGTGACTCATCTTCTCATATGTCAACTTGACTACTTTTCACTTGCTTCGTAGTATTTGTTCTTCCTCAAGTTAATACTTGCCTTTGTTTTTGTTTATGTTCTAGATAACTCTCATTAATTTAACTTTGATATCTGTTCCATTTCTGTGACTCTGTTAAGAAATTAGAGACTTTGAACTTTCTATTAATTTTACTTTCTTGGAAATGTCCCTCTTGGGCCCTTCTGGCTGCTCCCATCTGGACTGGAGGCTTCTACCTGTGGGACAGAGTCACCTTCCTAGGATCTCCCTCCACCACCATCTGGGGCGGTGCTTTACATGCAGTGGAGCCACCTGGGGTCCTGACAAATGCAGACTGATCAACCTGTCAAGGCTGGGCCTGTGAGCCTTTCTGTCCAGTTTCATGAGATGCTGGTTCTGCTGGTTCATGGATAATAGCTGGGGTAGCAAGGATCTCTCTTTTTGTCTCACAGTTTTCTGCATCTCTTTTTCATAGTAAGCACATGCTAATATATTTTCAATAAATTCATGTGCTCTTTTCCTAAGTTGGTATCAGAGCTAATTATTTTTTTCATTGCGCCAAAATCCATATTATATAAAATTTGGTATCGTAACAATTTTTAAGTATAGAGTACTATAATATGAACTGTAGCACATTGTTATGCAACAGATCTCTAGAACTTTTCATCTTGCAAAACTGAAACTCTACGCTGAAAATCTCCTCATGAATCCCCCCAGCCTAACCACTGGCAGCCGCCATTCTACTTTCAGGTTCTAAGAGTTTAGACGCCGCATATAACGAATTGCGCAGTATTGGAATTTCCTTGTGATTGGCTTATTACACTTAGCATTGTTCTCCAGGTTCATCCATGTTGCAGCATGTAACAGAATTTCCTTCTTTTTAAGGTTGAATCATATTCCATTGCCTACATAGACCACATGTTCTTCATCTATTCATGTGTTGATGGGTGCTTTGTTTGCTTCCTTGTCTTGGCTATGGTGAGTAATGTTGCTGTGAATACGGGTATGCAATGTTTTTCTTTTTTACAGCCTCCCTCATTTCAGTGGAATTAATGTTTTAGTAGCTACTTCTGATAGCACATATTTAAAGTATTTTTGCATGCATCAATGTGTCCATTGTTGTTTTGATTCTCTCCTGGAAGAGGATGGAAATGTATGAAGGTGCTGTTTGGCACAGTATTTAATGGTGAAGAAGAGACGGTGTAACTGACCAGTGCTGGGTCTCAGCATCCTGCAATTTCAGAACTACTGTGAATGCAAAAATAATTAAAAAAACCAGTGCTGCCCAGAAAGGGGGAGTCATCCCTAAATATGGCGGCCCTGGGACAGCTGGCCTCCCTGCCAGGCCTCTTCCATGGGGGCCCTTTTCTGCAGTGACTGGGATTTCTTTCCATTTCACTCTACCCTGTGTCCTGACCCAAGAGACAAGGCATGTCTGCAGCTGTGCCCACACTTGGAGTGTGTCAGTACATTATAAACACTGGCTCAGTGGTGTTAGTACATTATAAACATTGGCTTATCATGGGTTATTTTATTATTTATTGTGTATTTTGATTTCACTTTACTGGCAACACAATAAACAATGACATGATGACCCTAGCAATCACATCCTCTTTCTTGTGTCAAAAAGCACCTTCCAGGAACGTGAGAAGGAGACAGTTTTCGCTACAGTTGATTAAGGGAGAGCCCGCTAGGCTGGGCAGGAGGATTTTTACCGGGAACCTGTGCGATGAGCTGTGACATCCTTCTCCCCACCTTCAATCTCAGCCCCAGCAGGCACCTCCTGGGCGCAGAAGCAGTGCAGCGGCGCCACCTGGCGGTCTGCACTCTTCCTTTCCCAGATCAAGCACAGCCCTGAAATCCACCTGTCCCTCCTCTGTGCCTGTGATTTCTTCAGGGGACACCAGCGTGGGTCAACTTTCTTGTAAAGCAGAACAAGCGTGAGATTGGACCATGTTACAGGAGGAATGGTGTCATCTCTACCTGTGGAGAGATCCCTGTCACCGTGTTCAGGGGAAGGACCGAGCCTCACTCCCACGCAGAGAGGAGGCTCTGGTTGTAACTGCTCCAGTGGAGAGATGAGGACCTCCTCCCTCTACACTGATGGCCAAAGCCTGCAGACTGGGCCAGGCTTCCCCTCAGCTATGTCCTGTCAGGTTCATCCAGGACTCAAGAAATAAACTGTGGACATTGTCTCCAGCGACGTGGAGCTGAATGCACACTCAGTAATGAGACAGCCTTGCCAGGGGTCCTGGGGCTGCCGGTTGTTCTGGGTGCTCAGTGTCCAGAGAGGAGGATGGGGAGGAGGCTTTGTGCAGAACAGGAACCGTGGAGCTGGATGCACACTCAGTAATGAGACAGCCCTGCCAGGGGTCCTGGGGCTGCCGGTTGTTCTGGGTGCTCAGTGTCCAGAGAGGAGGATGGGGAGGAGGCTTTGTGCAGAACAGGAACCGTGCCCCATAACTCATTTTATTCTGCGTTCGCCTTTTTGTCATAAAACACAGGTGACATAAAAGAAAAAAAATCTTAAAATGGTGACCTTTAATCAACAGTAAACACTCTTTAACCATCAGAAAGAGAGAGAAGTTTGTCAGCTGACCTAGAAGCCCCATCAATTGACCCAGTTCAATAGTAAATTTTTATTTTTTCAAATAAAAATCAATCACATCCTGACTTTTGTGGTCCTCACTTCTTTGTTCTATTTTATATTTTCATCATCCCAAATGATAGTTTAGTTTTACCTTTAAAAATAAGTTTTTTGTTCTTATTTGTTCTATAGGTTATCCCTTTGAAATTAATATTGTCTGGTAGAGTTTCCTGTTGTTTGTATTTTGTGGATTGCACCCCAAACTATGGTTTAATATGCATCTCTATTACCTGCATTTTCTAGAAATTTGTAGTTTGGTATAGAGGTTTGCATCTATTCAGATTTTTTTCCCCGTGAGTTTTGGTGGTACTATATCATGTTTTTCAACAAGGGGAAGAGTTTAATACTGGTTATTTCCCTTTGGTGATGAAAATTGTCATTGCTGTTCAGTGGCTAGATCTGTTCATTCATTACGGATGGCAAAGAGTTGTAGTCTCAGTCTTCCATTTCTTTTCATGTATTATTTGAATAATTTGTAAAATAAGAGACTTACCCCCTTCTACTATTTACCTATTATAGGAAAATCACTTTTAATTAATTAGATGTGAAAATTCTAAGAAAAATATTAGTAGACTGTATTAACCAATGTGTTATAAACAGACTGTCTTGACCAAGGTATATAGCCCAAGAATGCAAGGATATTTAAACTTTAAACCTTTTAATGCATTTTGCCACTTAATTAAAGAATAAAAAACAGAGATGATGTTATTTTACTAGATTAAGAAATTATTCTAGATGAAATTCAGCACTCCATCTGACCCATATTTCTCCAGTCATCTCCAGGTTAAAGAAATCATGCAATCAGATTGGGGCCACTCAAATAATACAAAATAATCTCCACATCTAAAGGTCCATGCTCTTAATCATATCAGCAAAGTCCCTTTTGCTGTGTAAAGTAACATATCTAAATGGTCTGCGTCTTAGGGCTTGGACATATGTGTGAGGCCATTATTTTGGATTCCACAGTGTATATGGTGGTTGAATGAGGTTTAATTTAATTCTTCTCTAATTAAATTCCTAGAAGAAGAGAAGTGAGTAAATGGAAAGAGGCATTCCAGAAAGAGGTTATCTTAAAATATTAAGGAAATGTATTATTGTAAATAAAGTCTTGATGCCACAAAGAAATAGCACTCAAATATAAAATTTTCTTTTTTTCTTCTCAGCAAGGCAATTACTTCTATACAAGGGTGTGCCCTCACAGATGGAGCAATGGTGAGCACACCCCTGGACAAGGAAGGGGAAGGGGTTCTTATCCCTGATGCACGTGGCCCCTGCTGCTGTGTTATTCCCCTATTGGCTAGGGTTAGACCGCACAGGCTAAACTAATTCAGATTGGCTAATTTAAAGAGAGTGAAACAGGTGATCAGAATGAGTCAGGGTGGTGCAGGTAACTGGAATGAGTCAGGCTGGGGCAAGTAATCAGGATGAGTCAGGGTGGAGCAGGTAATCAGAATGAGTCAGGGTGGAGCAGGTGACTGGAATGAGTCAGGGTGGAGCAGGTAACCAGAATGAGTCAGGCTGGAGCAAGTAATCAGGATGAGTCAGGGTGGAACAGGTGATCAAAAAAGGTTGCTTTATGAGGAAGTTAAGTTTAAAAGTAGAGGGCAAAGAATTGAACATACTGACATGTTAATTATTTTAAGAGAAATTTAGAACTCATACCTAACAGTATCATAGCACTGTGAATAAAAAGAGATCCACATTTACTCATACTGCACTGGAACAGAAGATGTTAAAGAGAAACAGATATCTTAAAATTTGCCACAGGAGAAACACAGATCCTCTAAGAAGCAACTGGTTAAAATGTAACTGACTATCCCCTGTCAGCCACAGCAGCCAGAAGCAACATAATCATCAAAGATCTGAGAGAAAACCAATGTCAAACTAGAAATTTGCAGCTGACAAATCTCTCTTTGATGAATAAAGGTAAAACAAAACATTATCATATAAATGAAACTGTTGCACTGTCTCCATAATACCCAATTTCAAAATATCTACAAGAACAGAGAAATATGTAAGAACAAAAGAGAGAAAGAAAGCATAAATTTTAATTTGTAATCTTTGGTATATGTAACTCAGTACTGTCATAAAATATTAATAATGTAGCTTTCAAAGAAAAAAGTCATGTAAAATACATAACATGCTGTGCTATAATTTCTTTATTTATCTTCCCACCCCCACCTTTGACTTCTATGAAGTCCAAGGAAGTTTGATTCTTTTATCTGAGGCTCAACTCCATAGAGCACAGTACCCAGAATAAGGTAGGTGCTTAATGATGTTTACCATTTGAATGAGTTTCCTGGAAGTACTTAGCAGATCAGGAATTCTGATGCATAAGCACAATTCAAAGGTGGCTGAGGAGTGACATCAGAGAACATAGTGGCATAGGAACTCCAAGGGCCACCTCTGCACAGAGACAATGTGCTTGTAAAACATCACTATAAAAAAAAATCCCTTGGCTGGGCATGGTGGCTCATGCCTGTAATCCCAGCACTTTGGGAGGCCGAGGTGGGGGGATCACCTGAGGTCAGGAGTTCGAGACCAGACTGATCAACATGGAGAATCCCAGTCTCTACTAAATATACAAAATTAGCTGGGTGTGGTGGCTCGCGCCTGTAGTCCCAGCTACTCGGGAGGTGAGGAAGGAGAATCGCTTGAACCCGGGAGGCAGAGGTTGCAGTTAGCCGGGATCATGCCATTGCACTCCACCCTGGGCAACAAGAGCAAAACTCCATCAAAAAAAAAAAAAAAAAAATTCCCTCGGAGAGCTGTTAAAGCAAGAATTCCTGGACCTACCACCAGATATTCTGATTGGGTTGATAAAGAATCAACTGCATTGGAACCCTGAAAAATCATCAAAGGTTTATTGCAACCTAGCAAGTCCAGAAAAATCAACTGGAACTCAGGAGCAGAGCTTTGTGGCACCATATCTTACCCTTGGCCCATTCCTCCCTGTTCAAGTCAGTAGTGATCTTGAAGACAGCAGCCTGGTTCCTTAGTGTGGGCTCCAATGCCAGTGGGAGCCGAGTGGACCATGTTCTCAAAGTGTTGTGGTTGTCTACCTTTTCCTGTTGGGTGACTCCGTGAAGGATGATAAGAAATGGCTTACATTGGGCTGGGCATGGTGACTCATGCCTGTAATCACAGCACTTTGGGAAGCTCAGCTGGGTGCATTTCTTGAGTTCAGGAGTTTGAGACCAGCCTAGACAACATGGTGAAACTCCATTTCTACAAAAAATACAAAAATTAACTGGGCATTATGGCATGTGCCTGTAGTCTCAGCTACTCAAGAGGCTGAGGTGGGAGGATTGCTTAAGCCCAGGAGGTTGAGGCTACAGTGAGCCAGGATCGTGCAACTGCACTCCAGCTTGGGCTTCAGAGCAAGACCTTGTCTAAAAAAAGAAAAAAAAGAAAGAAAAAGAAAATAAATGGTTTGCATTTATTTTCCCTACTCAGAACTCTCTTAGGTCACAGAGGCAGAGGGCATCTGCTAAAACCATTTAAGTGCCACTGAACCAGCAGCTGCCCCCTTGGGGCAAAAATATATTACATGAGAAAGGTAATAGACATACAGAAAAGCCTGGAGGAGAAACTGGGTGAGTGAGATGGGAATATGGGTTTTGAAAAGCTTCCATATCCCTGGGAATCTGTATAGCCTCCTCCATGACCAGTATGTCGCACAGACTCACAAAGCACCTGAGAATGCCCTGTGTTCACACCTCTTGCTAACTTTCAATATCTGCACAAGTAGGAAATGAAGGCCAAAGCAGTATTGTAAACTGCCCAGCAGAGTGTTGAGGGCATGCCCCAAAACACACAGAGAGCCCAGATAAAAAGATTGAATTTTCTTTTCTTATTTCTTTTTGGCTGAAGATGTTTCAGGAAATATCTATCAAATCATGAGTTGACCACTAAGCTTACAGAATAGAGACTTCAGTGATGACACACAATAAAGAATACAGTCTATACAAAAATAGTTTAGAAAACATGATTTTCAAAGTCACCACATGTTAGTATTCAAAATAAAAATGAGGTATGCAATTAAACTAGACAGTAAGACCCATTCTCAAGAAAAAAGAGGAATTGACAGAAACTGTTCCTGAGAAAGGCCATTGAACATACTTACTGGACAAACAACTTTGAATTGACTGCTTAAATATGTTCACAGAGCTAAAGGAAACTATGGGCAAAAAACTAAAGGAAATCAGAAGAACTATCTTAACTCAAATAGAGAACATCAATAAAAAGATAGAAAGTTTAAAAAGAAACCAAATAGAAATTTTGGAGCTGAAAAGTGCAATAACTGAAATGAAAAATTTACTAGAGTAATTTTACTATTTTTTACTATATTTTACTAGAGTAAATTTACTATTTACTTTTTTACAAAAGCAACTTTCACTATGCAGAATGAAGAATCGGCAAGCTTAAAGGTAAGACAATTGAAATTATCCAGTTTGAGGTGCAGAAATAAAAAAAAATTATGAAGAAAAATGAACAGAACTTAAGAAAACTGTGAGACAACACCAAGCATATGCATTTTGGGAATCCTCAAAGAAAGGAGAGAGAAAAAGAAGAATGGCTATTTGGAGGAATAATAACTTCAAATCTCCTAAATTTGATGAAAAATATAATTTTACTCATCCAACAAACTTGATACATTTTAAGCAGCAAGAATTTTAGAAGTCCACACTGAGAGACGTTATAATCAACCAGTCTACACCAATGACAAACAGACCATCTTGAAAGCAATAACAGAGAAGGAACTTTTCAGGTACAATGGATCCTCAATAAGATTAACATACAAATTTTCATCAGAAACCATGGGGTTCAGGAGGCGTTGGGATGACAAATTTAAAGCTGAGAAAGTAAAAGGACTATCAACCAAGAATTGTATGTCTGCAAAACTCTCCTTCAGAAATGATGGAGAAATCACGACATTCACAGGTTAAAAAAAGCTGACTGAGATTGTCTCAACCCTACAAGACATATATATATACACACACACATATATATATTTGTAATTCCTCTCTTGTTTTTCCTATTTGATTTAAAAGAAAATGTCCATCGACCAATGAATGGAGAAACAACATATAGTTTTTTCCTACAATAGAATATTATTTGGTCATAAAATGAATAAAGCACTGGCATATGCTAAAACATTGCTGAATCTTGAAAACAAGACAAGTGAAGGAAGCCAGTCACAGGAGGCTACGTAACTTATGAGCCCATTTTTGTGAAATATTCATAAGAGGCAAGTCGATAGAGAAAGAAGTGGATTTGTGGCGACAGGGTCTGCTGGCAGGTGGAAATGGAGGGTGACTGCTTAATGGGTGCAGAGTTCCCCCTGAGGTGATAAAAACACTCTGGAACTAGAGAGTGATGATGGTTACATAACATTGTGAACATACGAATTGTCACTGCATTGTGCACTTTAAATGGTTACGGTGGTATCCTTTGTGTTTATGTGTATTTTACCACAATGAAAAAGAGGCTGAGGAAGGTATTCCAAAATCTTTTGTATAGTAAACTCCTGAGTTTGCTTGAGAATCTGCCTATCTGTCTTTTCTTCTCAGGACATCATCTCCTACCCAGAGCAAACCTTTGTTCTTCTGCAAGTAGAAAGCCCTCTTTCAGAACATTGTCCAAGATCAGCCAGGCCCAACCCTCAAAATGACTTTCTGTCTTTGACCCAAATGCTCAAATGCAACTCTGGGGCTAATTTCAGTGGGAGTAAGAGATTATCCAATCAGGATAATTCATTTGGAGAGAAAATGTTTTGCTTAAGTCAGCAAAGTCCTTTGCTTTCCTAAAAAGGATCCTGCTTACCAGTGAGTACAGAGTTTTTGTACATTTGAGGTGGAGTTCTCAGCAGAGTAATTAAAGATATCTGTAGAAACACCACACACATTATGTGTAGCTGACTGATTCACCCCTCTGCCACCCCCAATTGAAGGAAGGAGCTGTATTCTTATCTTGGCCCATCCATCAACTGAATGCCGCTGGACATGGAACATTACAAGTGTGAAGCTTCCAGGGTTCTCAGTTGCTCTTCCTGCTGTTGTGGAGACTCCATTGGTGTGGCTCACATCCAGGCAGGCCTGCAGGAAGCTGTTTCCTAATTCTCAAGGCCAACATTTTCAGTGAACCCATACCAAAACCCTAGGTTCTCAGGGACTCAGATTTTCATCTGTGGAAGAAAAGAATCCATCTCACTCTCTCAGGTGTGATGGTAATTATATATATTATAATATAATATATATATACATAATTATAATTTATATATCTATAAAAGAGATAATCAGTATTCCATAAATTGATGATATTCTCAGTGTTGACTTCATTGCCCAGGTGAACACTGTAACAGAAGGATGAGTCATGGATTGTAGAGGAACAATATTTTTTTTACTCTCTGGAGGAGCCATCAGTAGGCATTTCTGCCATATGGACTTCAAATGAGAAATTTGTTTTAGGTTGAGATTGGAAGGAGATCTGAACTTCTTTTTATTATTATTATTTTAAATATGAGGTCTCACTATGTTCTCCAGGCTGGAGAGCAGTGACTATTCACAGGTGTGACCATAGCCTCAAATTCGTGAGCTCGAGCCATTCTCCTATCTCAGCCTCCTGAGTAGCTGGGACTACAGGTGCCCACCACAGTGTTCAGCCACTTTTCATTGTTATTTTACTTCAAATGTTTTATTTTGAATGTTAAAAATACATGTTTCTACATTAGAAATATGAAAATGTATTTGATTACAGAAGAATTTAAAATGCACACATCAACACCTGGTTGAATTTTAAAGAAAAAAAAATGCAGAGAAGAAAGAAATATCACCCAGGCTTCCCCTCCAAAGAACCACTGCTATCATATTATTGAAACTTCCTGGACTGCAGTGTGAATGGTCATCCCTGGAGCTATCTTCTGCAGTGATGCTGACTTCCATTCTTTTGTTTTCTATGTATATATTTTTATATATGCTTTCATTGTAGAAAGTTGCATTCATAAGTTTTGGGGTTTTTTTTAAGATGGAGTCTCACTCTGTCCCCCAGGGGCTGGAGTGCAGTGGCATGATCTCGGCTCACTGCAACCTCTGCATCTCGGATGCAAGTGAGTCTTCTGCCTCAGCCCCTCGAGTAGCTGGGATTACAGATGTGCACTACCACGCCTGGCTAATTTTGTGTTTTTAATATAGATGGGGTTACACTTGTTGGCCAGGCTGGTTTTGAACACCTGACCTCAAGTGATCCACCCACCTTGGCCTCCCAGAGTGGTTGTGGGTTATTTTGAAGTTGCTTTTTGAATGTATTATTATGAAAGTAGTTTTCCATGTCATAAAGTCTGCATAAAATTTACACACTTCTAGAAGCTGCATCCCATCTCAAACAAGGAGAAGTCACCAGGGTTCTTTTAGATCCATGTGCTTTCATCTTGTCTTTTGGTAAAGAATATTTTGACAAGCATGTTTGTACATGAAGATTCTTCTATGGTTGTGATTTTAAAAATTCATAGAACACTCAGGATGGACATGGTGGCTCATGCCTGTACTTCCAGCACTTTGGGAGGCTCAGGCTGGCAGATTGCTTGAGCCCCTGAGTTTGTGACCAGCCTAGGCAACATAGAGAAACCCTGTCTCTACAAAAAATTCAAAAGAATTAGCCGGGCTTGGTGGCACATGCCTGTAGTCCCAGCTACTTGGGTGTCTGAGGTGGGAGGGTTGCTTAAGCCTGGAAGATTCAGGCTGCAGTGAGCCATGAACAACACTGCACTCCAGCCAGCAAGCCCAATCTCAAAAAAATAAATTATAGACTACTCAAATTGTAAGTATTAAACCAGTGTCTGTGAGAGTTTTTCTGGAAGGGATGTGAGTGGGTGGACTGGTGGGGAAGATCCTCTCTCACTGTGGGCAGCCACAGTCCAATCACCTAGTGGCCCAGATAGAACAGAAAGGTAGATAGAAGTAAAATTTCTCTCTGTCTCTGTCTCTCTGTCTCTCTCTGTCTCTGACTCTCTCTCTGGAACTGGGGCTGGGACACCCTTCTTCTCCTGCCTTGGACATCAAAACTCCAGGTTCGATGATCTTTGGACTCTGACTTTTGCACCAGTGAGCCCCTTTATCCTCCTGTTCTGTATTCTGGGTCCTCAGGGCTTTGACTTTGGACTGAGCCACGCTACTGGCTTTTCTAGTTCTCCAGCTTCCAGACAGTCTATCATGGGACTTCTCAGCCTCCATAATTGTGTGAGCCAATTAGCCCAATAAATCACCTATCTATCTATCTGTCTGTCTATCTATCTATCTATCTATCTATCTATCTATCTATCTATCTATCTATCATCATCTAACATCTATCTATCATCTATCATCTATCTATCTATTATCTATCTATCATCTATGTACCTATGCTATTGGTTCTTTCTTTCTTGGTAACCTTAATAAATCAACAGACAATAAACAAATAAAACCTGTCATAGTATCACTGATAATTGCCATTAAGAAAAATATGCTTGGGTTAGAAGATTGGTGGCGGTGGTGGGAATGGCAGGGGATAGATTTCAGAAGAGGTCACTGGACAAGACATTTCTGAACACTTGACCATGGGACATTTAAGCAGGGACCTTAATGGTGTGAGGAGTGAGCCATGTGGATCACTGGGCAGCACATGCATGTGGGAGTCACAGCAGGGGCAGGTGGTGGAGACAGGGTGGAGTAGACAAGAAACTGGTGTGAGTGGAGAAGAATGAGCTAGGCTGAGAGTAATGGGATGAGGCCAAAGTGGCCAGAGGGGACCCTGTGATAAGGAGTGCATAGGAAATGGTGGGAAACTGGGGTTTCCTTGTGCCTAAGAAGGGAAGGAGCTGGAGCGTTCATAGGATATGCCCTAATTCCCATTGGAAAGGCACGCTCTCTCTGTTGTGTGGGTGATGGACAGTGGGCATGAGAGTCAGCAGGCAGCCCAGCTGGAAGGCCCTTCCGGTTTTCTATCCTAGTGAGGATGGTTCTGGGGTGGAGGTGGCAGAGGAGTGAGAAGTGATTGGATTTGGTGTTGATATATATTTTTAAAATTGTGGTAAAACACACATACTATACGATTTACCTTCTAACAATTTTTTTCAGTGTACAATTCATTGGCATTAAGCACATTTACAATTGATGGTGGTTACACAAACACCAACATGCATTTTCAGAACATTTTCATCATCCCAACAGAGACTGTACCCATTAAATGACAGCTGCCCATTGTTCCTGCCTTCAGCCCCTGGTAACCTGTATTCTACTTTCTGTTTTTGTGAATTTGCTTATTCTAGGTGCCTCATATAAGTGAAATATCATATTTGCCTTTTTTTTGGCTTATTTTATTTAGCGTGTTTTCAAGGTTCCATCCAATCCAAATATTCTTCACTTTTAAGGCTGATTAATATTCCATGTGTATATGCACCACATTTTGTTTTTCCAATCATCCTCTGATGGACACTTGGGTTGCGTCCACCTTTTGGCTATTGGGAATAGCACTGCTATGAGCATGACTGTACAATTATCTGTGTGCATACCTGCTTTCAATTTTTGGGGGGTATACACCCAAAAGTGGAATTGTTGCTTCATATGGAAATTCTATGTTTACCTTCTTGAGAAAGCGTCATCCTGTTTCCATGATGGCTGCACTGTTGTTCACTCTCAGCAGCAGTGCACAAGCATTCCATTTTCTCCACATCCTCACCAACACCTGGACTAGTGAAGCTGAGCATATTTTCATGTCCTTATTGGAATTCCTTATTTTTATGTCCTTACTGTGTATCTTCTCTGGAGAATTGTCTATTCATGTCTTTTACCCATTTTTGAATGAGATTGTTTTGCTATTGTTAAGTTGTAGTTCTGTATGTAGTCTGGATATTAATTCTTTATCAGATATGTGATTGGCAAATATTTTATCTTATTCTATGCAGTTTCTTTTATTTTCACTTTTTTTTTTTTTTTTTTTTTTTTTTTTTTTTTTGAGACGGAGTCTCTCTCTGATGCCCCAGCTGGAGTGCAATGGTGCAATCTCAGCTCATTGCAACCTCTGCCTCCCAGGTTCAAGCGATTCTCCTGCCTCAGCCTCCCGAGTAGCTGGGATTACAGGTGCCCACCACTGCGCCCGGCTAATTTTTGTATTTTTAGTAGAGACAGGGTTTTGCCATGTTGGCCAGGCTGATTTCGAACTCCTGACCTCAGGTGATCCACCCACTTTGGCCTCCCAAAGTGCTGGGATTACAGGCGTGAGCCACTGCGCCTAGCCTCTTTTCACCTCTTAATAGCGTCCTTTGATGCAAAAAAGTTTTTACATTTTGATGAAGTCTTATTTGTCATTTTCCTTTTATTGCTTGTACTTTTGGTCACCAGCCAAGAAACCACTACCAATTCTAATGACCATAAGACTTTCCCTCAGTATTTTCTTTTAAGAGTTTTACAGGTTTAACTCTTAAGATTAGTTCTTTAAGGCATTCTGACTTAATTTTTGAAAAGGGTGTAATGGAAGGGCATAAATTTTGTCCAGCATCATTCTTTTGCATGTGGATATCCAGGTTTCCAGCACCATTTGTTGATGCACCATCTGTTGCAGTGGGGCTGACACATTTGTAAGATGCAATGAGCATGAATACATGGGAGCACCATGAATTTATTTACATGTCTTTACTTCACAGTTGTTTTGAGGAGGCTTTCACTGAGAAACCTAACAGAAATGAATATATATGACTTCCTATAAAATGAAATTTAAGTAAAATTATACTTTTTAAAATGTTAAGACTGGAGCAAGACTGGAACATCACCAGACAAACAGAAACATAGGCTGAAATGAAGGGTTTATGTTTATCTTGCTACAAATTCTGTTGGCCCACAATCTCTTATGCTTATTGCATAAGAGAGCCACAGAGTGGGGCGATAGCTCAAATAACCAGTCCCTGGTTTTCTGCTTCAGAAACAAGTTTAAATTCTCTGCTTAGACAAAGTAAAGAAAATAATTGAAAGATGTTGAATGTGAAGTTGGCATCTACAAAGTCAAAGAAGTGAGTAGTAAATGTAAACATCAGGAATCCAAGGAGATTCTATCTTTTTACACAGAAATGGCCTCACTATGCACTGCTGAAGGGAGAAGGTCCCTCCAGGAGAACTTCATGATGAGGAAAAACCCAATATGATGTAGGGGTTTTCTGCTGCAGCCCTAAATTGAATTGTCCTTCGCTCTAAATACAGGTCTCACAAAGTTTTATGTCTTCAATGATTTCACCTGGGCAGAGATTTTGTTTTGTTTTTGGTGTTGTTTGTTTTGAGCTGCTGCCTGGGGCTTAGAAAAGTGACTTGGATATTTTGCCAAAGTTGTATTTCTTTGATGGAATTCGAAATCCATGAACACTCTGCTTTCCTGCTGTATTCCCAGAGCGGGTTGAGTACCTTGCACTTCTTTTCAGCACTTCCCTAGAAGTGGTAGAAGATTTGGAGTTAGGGCCTCCCTCAATCTCTGCCCTTTCTTTAATTCAGAGGATCACAAACTGTTGGGGGAAGAGTGGTATCTTGGGCCCCCAGTTGATCGGATGAATATTAATATCCAATGTCCTGTAATGAAGTCATGTGTGCATGTAACATCACTTCTGCACGCAGTGTCATGGGAAAGTGGGTTCGCGGACCCCAGGTTAAAAGCCTAAGCACTAAATGCACAGAGCTAGAGCTCTAGGAGGGGCGGGATGGCTGGGGTGGAACGTCATCTTGTCCTTTAGTCCTGGGGCATTTTCACTCCTCACATGGTGGGTGCTGGGCATCTGGCAGGTACTGATGTTGATGGAGTCGAGGGAGGGTACTGGCCGGAACTGGGAAAAACAGGGTTGGGGAGATAATTAAGGTGAACATTATTTTTTCTGAGTGTAAGTCATGGCTTGAAATCTGGAGAGCCTGAAGGAGATCCCGCTACCTAAACCCGTTTTCCTTTTCCCTCAAGCCTCATTTGGCCACAGGCCCAGTGTCAACACCAGGGGGCGCCACAGACCATGAAGGCACCGCGCAGCTGGGATTGTTTGTGGTGGGCTCCTGGGTCCCTGACTTAACCAGGGAAGCCAAGACCCTGCAGCCAGGTGGGCTGGATTCAACCTTCAGCTCTGGTCCTACTGACACTTTTCTTCCTGGTGCCTCAGTTTCTTAATCTGTGAAATGGTGAGGACATTACAGCACTTACCTCTCGGGCGGGTTTCTCAACAGCAGCCCTATTAAGAATTTGAGACAGAGAATCCCTTGTGGTCTGTCCTGTGCATTGTGGGAGGTTTGCCAGCAGCACCCCACTCACCCCCTCCCACCAATCCCCACGTGACAACCGAAAATGTCCCAGGATTTTTAGGTCTCCCTTGGGTCTAGAGCTGCATTTAGTCAAGCATTTTCCCACCTGACATTTGAGCTCATCTCTGCTTTGGTCCACATAAGGCCACTTTAAAAAGATGTTGTTTCTTTAAAGATTCTAACCATCTTTTAAACAAATCTATTTTCTTCCTTTATTTCTGCATTCAGTTAATCCTTCCAAACCCTTGGTTTAGTATATCTCAAAATGTATCAACTCCAGTTCTAGTAATTAACATATGTGACTTGCATGATATCTGCTATGACCCCTAGTAGAGTTCTGATTCCTTTAGCACAGGGAATGTGTTCTCGATTCTGCTCTGGATGATGTAAATCAATTTATTTTACTTTACTTGTCTGGGATGTTGCTCCTCACCTGTAAAATGTAAATGTAGATATGGCTTGGATTACTAAGTGGTTTTATTTCTTCATTCACCTGACATTTGTTGTGTACCTGCTGCAAGTCAAATACATGGTATGATATTGTTTCCTTGTTCACACCACAGCAAATGAGAAAATGAGACATTATAGCCAGGTGTGGCGGCACAGGCTTCTCGTCCTAGCTACTCAGAAGGCTGAGGCAGGAGAATTGCTTCAGCCCAGGAGTTTGAGGTTACAGTAAGGTCTGATATCACCATTGCATTTCAACCTGGGCAACAGACCCTGTCTCTGAAAAAAAGGAAAAAGACACTGTGAGCTGTCTACATGTACTCTATGTCTCAGGAGACTCATGTGCTGTAATTTTTCTAAATGGCATCTCCATGTGGTCTTTCATGAATGTTTGTCTGGTATTTCTTTTCTATCTTTTTACTTTCAACTTTTCTGTACCTTCTACTGAAATTATGGCTTTTGTAAATAGCCTACGGTTATTTATTTATTTACTTATTTATTTTTATCCCTCTGCACTATTTGTCTTGTAATTGGAGTGTCTGAGTCCATTACGTTTAATGTCATTGTTGACCTCATTGGGTTTAAGTCTGTCCATTTTCATTTACTGCCTTCTAATATTATCTTTCTTGCTCAACTATTTTTCTTCTGTTGCCTTCTTTAGATGAATAAAAAACTTTGCATTATTGTGGTCTTCTCAGTAAGTGTTCTAGTTACAAATTCTCTTATTATTTCTTTAATTATCTGAGAAAGCACAATAATCTGTGACTTATTATAACCAACAGCAGACCATAACTTCCCTGACTTTCACCTACCTGTGCAGACAGCACAGGGGAGAATCAATGCTCTGGCTCTGAGACACAGGGGTGGTGGAAGTAGGATAGTGATTGGATGATGAATCTGTAGCTGCAGAGGCATCTGGGCCCCTCACCTTCATTCCTCGTAGATGTCACCTCCACTGGATGCCTGCAATGCCCTCTCCTCTGTATGCTCCTGCCAGAGTCTCCCCATCTCCACTGACAGCAGCTCCACCCTTCTGCTCACTCAGTCCAATACTGTGGGTGTCCTTGATTCTTCTTTCTCACACCACAGATAAATCCATTAGCAAGTGCTGTGAATTCATCCAGAATCCCATCACTTCCCACTATTTCCCCTGCTCACACCCCAGTCAAGGTAAGCGACGTCTCCATCCTGGAATACTGCACTCCTTTCCCACCGTTTTTCCCACTGCCTCACTAGTCCCCCACCTCTCAATTCTGTTCTCAGCACAGCAGCCAGAGAGAAGCTTTCAAAGGATAAGTCCTACCATGTCCCACTTTCCAAAACTGTCCTCTAACTCCCCATGTCATTCAGAGCAAAGGTCAACATCCTTCCCACACCCTCCAGGGCAACCTGCTCTGGGCACACCTCTGACTTCATTTCAGTTTCTCTCTGTTCAACACTTCTGGCCTCTTCCTCCTTCCAGGAACACAGACAATTTCCTGCCCTAGTGCATCTGCACTGAAGGTTTCCCTGCCTGAAAAGAACTTTCTGAGACATCCGTGTAGACAACTCCTCACATCCCTCAAATCTTTACTCCAAGGTCACATTTGCAACAAGGCCCATGCTGACCACCCAGCACAACAGCCACCTCCCTGTACCCACAGCCCACCCTCTGGATCACCTGCCACACAGCACTTGCCACCTTCTAACTCAAGCATTTTCTGTTCCTACTCTGCTTATACTATATCATCTGCCTGCAGAGGTGTCCAATCTTTTGGCTTCCCTGGGTCACATAGGAAGAAGAATTGTCTTGAGCCACACAAAAAATACACTAATGACAGCTGATGAGCAGAAAAAAATAGAAAAAAGAAAAAAAATGCATGGATAATTTTCATGATATCTGCCACTACAGATAAGCAAAAAAATCGTCACATTCTAAAGCTGTCCTGGGCCACATGCATCCCGAGAGCTGCAGGTTGGACAAGCTTGCATCTAGAATGTATACACGACAAGGCCAGAAATTTTTCTGTTTTTACTTTAACGATGTTTTCTAAATGCAAAAACAGTCAAATACCTAGCAGACAACAAATGCCACTTGAATGGATGATTACTGTAGTGCGCCCCCCATTCTAAAGGCAATATCTTTATTAATGTAGACTCAGGCCAAATGTCATTTTGTAGCCGCTGTGGAACAATATTATCTCATGTGGATATAAATGCACCAGTGCTTTTCTCACCAGGGCTGCTTTTGTGTCCTCCCTCCCTCCCTGCCTCCTCCCACACCAATCCTCCTGCACACTGCAGCACACAACCATATTTGTCTCTTGAGGAAAGATAACCCAAGGCTTATGGCTCCAATTATCCAACCACATATGAATCTAAATTAGACTCTGCTTTACAAATCCATGAGTTTGGTTTGGAGCCAGCAATAGGATTACTACAACTCAGGGCAGGAAGAAGAGTAGGAGAGAGAGCAGAAGAGGAGTTCCAACAGAAAGTAAACTACAATGAAAAACTCTGGGACCTCTCCTCTCGGGAAGTTTCAGAATCTGCTTCCTTTAAGAAGGTTGGGGAAGCCAGGCATGGTGGCTTACACCTGTAATCCCAGCACTTTGGGAGGCAGAGGCGGGCAGATCACAAGGTCAGGAGATCAAGACCATCCTGGCTAACATGGTGAAATCCCGTCTTTACTAAAAATACAAAAAATTAGCTGGGTATTGTGGCATGTGCCTGTACTCCCAGTTACTAGGGAGGCTGAGACAGGAGAATTGCTTGAACCCGGGAGGTGGAGGTTGCAATGAGTTGAGATTGCACCACTGCACTCCAGCCTGAGTGAGACTCCATCTCAAAAAAAAAAAAAAAAAAAAAAAAAAAAAAAAAAAAAAAAAAAAAAGATGGAAAATACAATTGAAAGAGACCTGGAAGGAGGGGAAGAGGTGTAGGGGTCTGAAAATTTTTCTTCTGATAACACAGGAACTTCTACGTGTAGGGACCACCCTAGGTGATATCCAAGTCTATGTGATCACAGGTCCTGGTGGGACAAGGTTCTACTGAAGGGCCAAGGACAATGGAGCAGCAAAGATGACCCAGCTGAGCAGTGACCACATAAAGTTCATGGTGGCCTGAGCACCCACTGGGCGCAGCCCCATCTACTCTCCTCTCCTGCAACAAATCAGCACAAGAAACACGTGTACTGTGGAAAGTTCTCATGTCTTCCATTTATTTTGTCTCTCAAATTTCAGGAATCTTCTCCTTTAATTAACCCATCAATCTCTCTTGGAAATAATTTGAAAAAGTAAATTTACACTCAGATTCTAATTTTAATACAGAAGTAAGTTATAGCTCAGTGGACCACAAATTTGAGACAGAGACGGAGACATCCCAGCCCCTTTTCTGGAACAGGAAAGGTGATTGGGGAAGGAATGCAGTTCAGCATGAGGAAGAGGGTCATGGTGGGCACAGGGGTGGGCTGGTCTCTGCACAAAGAGAAGTCAGGGTTCTTGAAGTCACAAAGGGACTTGCCACTCAGTCCCACACAGGGCAGCTGTTTCACACTACAGAAAAATATTCATGAACAAATTCATATCAGTCACAGTGAGGGGTGACACTTTAAACAGCCCATCACATGCTCAATACATTGAAGTCAAAGAAACCTCATAGCACAGCTATGTCCCCTGTTCCCCTCAACAACCCACACACATCAGGCCCCCCGGGGTGTCACATTTACAAGCCGTGAGAGACACATTAGAGCCCTGGGCACTGTCACTGCCTAGAGTAGAACAAAAACAGCACCTGGTCAGAGACCACAGGAGATGTGGCCAGAGGAGGAATTGTGGGGTGGGTGAGCTCCCCCATGGGCTCCCAAACACAAGATCCCAAGGATCTCAGGGATCAGCCTCCTTCATACTTACTTGCAGCCTGAGAGTAGCTCCCTCCTTTTCAATCTGTGGGAAGAAAATGTCCTGTGAGAGGCCAGAAAGGTGGCAGGGCCATGAGGTCCTAGAGGAACCTCCTAGTCTTGGACCCTCGAGAAGTTTCCAGAAATGTGTGACTGCAGACCCAGGGCGGGATCAGGAAAAACAAGGAAAGCAGATGTGGGTCCTCGACCAACTGCCCTCCTAAGGTCTGTCCTTAGCCAGGGACCTTCTCCTGACCTGTGATTACTGGGATCAGGTCCCCATCACTACAATCATCAAGGTAATAAATCTGTCCTTCATTGTCACAGGTGCTTTACAAAAGAGAAGGTGCTGGCACACAGGGCCCAGGCTGGGTAGGCCCATGAGTGTGGATGGTGCTTCCCAGTAACCAGGCAGGGCACACTTCTACCTGGGGCTTGAAACCCCCAGTGGGACAAGAAAACTCAGACCCCACTTGTCACCCCTTCCTTACCTGAGCTCTTCTTTCTCCACAGCACAGCAGCGACCGCAGCTCCAGTGACTACAGCTGCAAGGACAACCAGGCCAGCAACGATACCCATGATGGGGATGGTGGGCAGGGAAGACTGCTCTGGGAAAGGAGGTGAAGGTGAGGGTCTCTGACCCCCAGCCCTCACCACCGACCCTGTTAAAGGTCTTCAGAGAGGCTCCTGCTTTCCCTAACAGACATGATGCCTCCATCTCCCTCCTTACTCCATCTCAGCATGAGGGGCTCCGGCAGCCCCTCATGCTGCACATGGCACGTGTATCTCTGCTCCTCTCCAGAAGGCACCACCACAGCTGCCCACTTCTGGAAGGTTCCATCCCCTGCAGGCCTGGTCTCCACGAGCTCCACGTCCTGGGTCTGGTCCTCCCCATCCCGCTGCCAGGTCAGTATGATCTCCGCAGGGTAGAAGCCCAGGGCCCAGCACCTCAGGGTGGCCTCATAGTCAAAGACAGGGTGGTGGGTCACGTGTGTCTTGGGGGGGTCTGAAAGGAAGAGTCAGAAAATTCAAGCACTTTGCATCTCTCATGGGACACTCCAGCAGCACCTGGATGTGACCATCCTAAGAATGAACCAGATACCTGGGGTGGGGAAGGGAGCACAGAACCCAGACACCAGCCTGGACACGGGCACCTGGGATAATCTCCTATTCCTTGGAAAGTTCTAGTCTCTGAGCGGGGGAGCAGGGACCTCCGGTTCTGACCTGAGTGGAGGCCAAGGGACTCAGAGGAGCTGGAGTCAGACCCCCACACACATTGAGTGTGAGGCAGAGAACAAGGCCTGAGGGGAAAAGTCCTGGTGCCAAGGCTGCTGTGGGGTCAAAGGGAACCCCTGATCAGTCTTCCAGGGATTGTCTTCCCCTCCACTCCCTCAGAGACTTCATCCCTTAATTGTCCCAGAGAGCAGGACGGGCCCTCAGAATCACTCTCTGGTACAGGATCTGGAAACCCAGGAGGATTCCTCTCCCTCAGGACCAGAGGGAGGGCGATATTCTAGTGTTGGTCCCATTTTCCTCCTCTCCTTGTGCTAGGCCAGGCTGAGAGGTCTACAGGAGATCAGGGAGGCGCCCCACTGCCCCTGGTACCCGCGCGCTGCAGCATCTCCTTCCCGTTCTCCAGGTATCTGTGGAGCCACTCCACGCACGTGCCCTCCAGGTAGGCTCTCCTTTGTTCAGCCACATTGGCCGCCTCACACTTGCGCTTGGAGATCTGAGCCGCAGTGTCCGCTGCGGTCCAGGAGCGCAGGTCCTCGTTCAGGGCGAGGTAATCCTTGCCATCGTAGGCATACTGTTCATACCCGCGGAGGAGGCGTCCGTCGGACCCCAGGTCGCAGCCAATCATCCACTGGAGGGTGTGAGAACCTGGCCCCACCCCCTCGGTCAGCCCCGCCCACCGAGCCTCGCCCTCGCCCGGACCCACCCGCGGGGATTTTGGTAAAGGCGCCTTGGGGTTCTCCCAGGTAGAGGGTCTGGGCGGGTCCCGCGGCCTCGGGGTGGATCCCAGACCCGGAGACTCGGGAGTACCCGGGCCGTCCGTGGGGCATGGAGGTGGGGGTCGTGATCTGCTCCCTGGGCCGGAGTTACTCACTGGCCTCGCTCTGGTTGTAGTAGCCGCGCAGGGTCTGCAGGTTCATTCTGTCAGTCTGTGCGTGGGCCTTGGTGTTCCGTGTCTCCTCTTCCCAATACTCCGGCCCCTCCTGCTCCACCCACGGCGCCCGCGGCTCCATCCTCGGACACGCCGAGTCGCTGTCGAACCGCACGAACTGCGTGTCGTCCACGTAGCCCATGGCGATGAAGCGGGGCTCCCCGCGGCCGGGCCGGGACACGGCGGCGCTGAAATACCTCATGGAGTGGGAGCCTGGGGGCGAGGAGGGGTTGAGACCCGCCCGACCCTCCTCCCGGCGCGGCTGCCGAGTCCTGCGCCCCCGCCAGGCGGGCCCCTCCCTCCTCCGCGCAGGGGCCGTTTCCCTCCTGACCCCGCACTCACCCGCCCAGGTCTCGGTCAGGGTCAGGGCCCCCGAGAGCAGCAGGAAGAGGGTTCGGGGCGCCATGACCACCATCCTTGGCGTCTGGGGAGAATGAGTCCGGGTGGGTGAGCGAGGACTTTAGAACCAGGACCGCGGCGACGCTGATTGGCTTCTCTAAAAACCTGTCACCTAATGGGAGTGAGAACTGGGGCCGCCCGGTGAGTATCCAGGAAGAAGGACCCGACACAGGTTAGGAGAAGGAGGAGAGAATCCCCAACGCGGGGCCTCCCCAACCCATACACCGCCTGTGGGGCCTGAGACCCTGAGAGCCACGCTTGAGGCCCTGGGACTTCGCCCTGACCCCGCTACTCTTGTGCCAAGCGTTCTGTCTCAGTGTCTCCCTGAGTCTTGGCCCAGGAGCTGTCTGAGAAACCAGGGAGAAACCCTCGGCAAGGTCCCTGGCCCTCTCCCTTCACTTTTCATCCCGGAATCCCTGTCCCTGAACTGGACTCCCTGCCTCCCACTCCTTGCCTGTCCTCCTGTACTCTTCTAGAAGAAAAATCACCCCAGGGAGCTTGTTGCCAGAGAGTGAGCTCGCCCTGGGATTGTAGGTGTAAAGACAGGGTTTTTTTTCCCCCTTAAATCTGGAAAAGTTGTGCCTGAGTGCATGAGATAGAATAGAGACCAGTTTGCTTTTTGTTTATTAACTATAGTGGGTAGCATAACCTTGGTAACCCCTGAATGATCAGGAATCTAATCGGTAAAAAATGTGACTTTGGCCTGTTGGTATATAAATGCATCTAAAAGCATTACAACAGGACTCACAAAGCTCTTAAGTTTCACTTTCCCAGACAGTGTATCTGTGACTCCCGCTTGTTTTATTTTAAATTTACCTTCATTCCGTAGCCCTAAGTTTCCGTGTGAGTCCAGGACATCTCCTCAAGACAAAGTACCACACTATGTTACTATATGTTGCAACCAGGAGCCAGCACAAACTTTATTCACCTCACAGTTGTAAGTGTTCAGTGCAGTCACAATGCCCCTCACTAGTGCTCACGCACTGCCTGTTTTTAGGAAGTATCCACATGTGAGTGGAGTGTATATTTTTTAGGAATACTTAGTATTTTTTAAACCTGATTAACATAAAAAACAATTAGTTTCTAGGCAGACCCACATAAGATATTAAAGGCCAACTGCAAAGAACACCCAGCGAGGCTCTGTAGATGGATGTATTAAAATCTATAAAACAATGTGTTTAAACCTAAGAGTTCTGCTGCTTTGGAATTCTTTCCTCTGCTCCTTTTCCTCACCTCCTGCTCCTCCAGCCCTTCCCTCCGTCCCTCTCATCCCTCAGGCCCTCTTCTCCCCTTAATCCCCACCACCCTCTCACTCCTGAACTGTGGCTCTAGCACTGTTCCATGACCTGCTACATGAGTGTTCTCTCTATAGTGGTCCTGCTACTATGAGTCAGAGTGTGTCATTTCTCCACCTAAAACACTCCAGTGGCTCCACCTCATTCTTGTGAAGCTTCTAGAATGTCAGGCACTTGAGCATATGAGGGCATACCTGGTTCATTGTAGGGACTAAATTATTTTTTCTTGGCTGAATGAATGAATTATGAGTGTATTAAATTGCATCACAGAAAATTATAAAATGTAAAACACTAAAAAAGTTAAAAAAGATTTTATTTTATGTAACTAGTGTGCGTATCAATTCATCAGTTCATTCCAGGAGTCTTTTGAGTCTGTGTATGAATTTTATAAGACTGGGTAACAAATTGTCACAAACATTGGCTTTAAACAGCACCCATTTATTGTATTCATTGATTTATTTTTAGAGACAGAGTCTCCCTCTGTCATCCAGGATGAAGTGCAGTCACATGATCATGGCTCACTGCAGCCTCAAATTCCTGGGCTCAAGGGACCCTCCTACCTCAGTCTTCAGAGTAGCTAGGACTGCAGGCAAGTGCCACCATGCCCAGCTAATTAAAAAGAAATGTAGAGACGAGTGTCTCACTATATTATCCTAGCTGGTCTCAAAGTCCTGGCTGCAAGTGTTCCTCCTGTGTCAGCTCCTCAAATGTTAGGATACAGGTGTGCACTACCACGCCTGGCCAAATAACACTCATTTGTTGTTTATAGTTTCTTAATCAGAAATCTGGGCATGATGTGGATGGAATCTCTGTTCCGGTCTTCCTAAACCTGTGTTTTCATTTTGAATCCTCCTTCAGGCTTATACAGAGGTGGCAGAATGCAGTTTCTGGCAGTTGTAAGACTGAGGTCCCTGTTCCTCACTGGCTGTCACTGTAGAGAACAGGGAGGGCTGCACTCAATGCATGGTGCCCACCAGCGTCCTTTCCTACACAGCCCCTTCATTTTCAAAGCCCACAGTGGAGGAAACCCCTTATGCTGAATCCCTCTCACACTGTGAATCTCTATGCTCAGGAAGAACCCAGTCCTTTCAAGGACTCTCCTTATTAGGACAGTCCAAGCAGGATAAACTCAGCCTAAAGTCAACTAATTGAGGCCCTTAATTATATCTGCTAAATCCCTTCACAGCAGCACCTACATTAGAGTTGGTTGAATAACTGGGGGAAGGTGAATGACCAGGAGCTGGTTGTTGGGAGCCATGATAGAATCAGCCCAGGAAGGGCTGGATCTTCCTTTTGTGTTTAATTTGGACACAGTTGGAAATTGAAGTTCAAGTAAAGTGATCATTGTGAATAGTAATAAAATACATCCTCTTCAGCCGTGGAAATTCTCCTTTCCTTTTAAAACTAAGTTACATGTTTAATATCTTATAGTTAATTTAGACCAGGTGTGGTGGCTCACGCCTGCAATCCTAGCACTGTTGAAGGCAGAGGAAGGCAGATTTGACTCCAGAAGTTCAAGATCAGCCTGGGCAACATGGTGAAACCCCCATCTCTACAAAAAAATTAGAAAATTAGCCAGGCATGTTAATTCATGCCTATAGTCCCAGCTACTCAAGAGGCTGAGATCAGAGGATCCCTTGAGCCCAGGAGGTCGACACTGCAGTGCATGGTGATCATGCCACTGCACTCCAGCCTGGGTGACAGAGCAAGACCCTGTCTCAAAAATAGTAATATGATGATGATAAATTTAGAGCAAATGCAAATTAATGTGTAATAATACATCCTCTCTTGTGAAAATGTATTAGTTATTTACTATTGTGTAACAAATTATGTAAAACTTAGCAGCTCAAAACAACAAATATTCATCATCTCCCACAGTTTCTAATGGTCAGGAATCCAGGAGCGGTTTTCCTGAGTGCTTCTGGCTCAGGGCCTCTCACAAGGTTGCAGTCCAGTTGTCAGCCTAGGGCTGCATCGTCTGAGGGCTTCACTGGGGCTAGGGATTCACGTGAAACATGGCTTAGTCACATGGCTGTTGGAAAAGCCTAGTTCCTTGCTGTCTGGTCCCAGGGGGCCTCAGTTCTTAGCCACATGGACCTTCCTGCAGGGCTGCTTATGGCACAGCAGCTGGGTCCCCAAGAGCTCATGATCCCAGAGACAGAGAGAGAGAAGGTGGAAGCCATAGTGAGTTTCACATTCTACACCCAGAGTCACAAACTGTTATGTCAACATTACTCTATCAGTTAGAAGTTGTATTAGTCTGTTCTCACACTGCTATAAAGAAATACCTGAGACTGGGTAATTTATAAAGGCAAGAGGTTTAGTTGACTCACAGTTGTGCATGGCTGAGGAGGCTGCCCCAGGAAACTTACAATCATGGCAGAAGGGGAAGCAAACATGTCATTCTTCACATGGTGGCAGGAGAGAAAAATGCAGAGTGAAGTGGGGAAAATCCCCTTATATGGTACATATACACCATGGAATATTATGCAGCCATAAAAAGGAATGAGATCAAGTCCTTTGCAGGGATATGGATGAAGCTGGAAGCCATTATCCTCAGCAAGCTAACACAGGAACAGGAAACCAAACACCACATGTTCTCACTTGTAACTGGGAGCTGAGCAATGAGAACACATGGACACAGGGAGAGGAACATCACACACTGGAGCCTATTATGGGAGGGCAGTGCTGAGGGGAGCATTAGGAAAAATAGGTTCAACCGCTGACTTCCACAGCTTGGGGGAATCATCCCCATGATTCGATCACCTCCCATGAAGTCCCTCCGCCAATATGTGGGGATTAGAATTCGCATGACAATTCAAAATGAGATTTGGGTGGGAACACAGAGACAGGCCATATCAGAAGTGCATCATTAAGTCCAAGCCACACTTAAGAGAGGGAATTAAGCTGCACCTCTGAAAGAGAGCTGTACTAAAGGACTTACGTATATGTTAAAAGCAAAATTAAAACTATTGTTTCAGGATTTTGTAAATCAAAGACTTCTTTTATCTAATTATTTTTCTTTAATGCTTTAAGCTTATCTTTTAATTTAATTTAATTTAATTTAATTTTAAGTTCCAGGGTACGTGTGCAGGATGTGCAGGTTTGTTACATAGGTAATCGTGTGCCATGGTGGTTGGCTGTACCTATCAACCCATCACCTAGGTGTTAACCCTGGCATTCATTAGCTATTTTTCCTAATGATCCCCCCATCACTGCCCTCCCTGAACAGGCCCCATTGTGTGTTTTTCCTCTCCCTGGTTCCATGTATTCTCATTGCTCAGTTCCCAATTATAAGTGAGAACATGCAGTGTTTGGTTTTCTGTTCCTGTGTGAGTTTGCTGAGGATAATGGCTTCCAGCTTCATTCGTATCTCTGCAAAGGACTTGATCTCATTCCTTTTTATGGTTGCATAATATTCCGTGGTGTATATGTACTATATTTTCTTTATCCAGTTCCTCATTTGTGGGCATTTGGGTTGATTCCATGTCTTTGCTATTGTGAATAGTGCTGCAATGAACATACACATGCATATACCTTTATAATAGAATGATTTATATTCCTTTGGGTATATAACCTTTAATGGGATTGCTGGGTCAAATGGTATTTCTGGTTCTAAATCTTTGAGGAATTGCCACACTGTCTTCCACAATGGTTGAACCAATTTACATTTCCACCAACAGTGTAAAAGCCTTCCTATTTCTCTGCAACCTTGCCAGCATCTGTTGTTTCTTGACTTTTAATAATTGCCATTCTGACTGGCATGAGATGGTATCTCATTGTAGTATTGATTTGCATTTTTCTAATGATCAGTGATGTTTAGCTTTTTTTCTTATGTTTATTGGCCACATGTATGTCTTCTTTTGAGAAGTGTCTGTTTAGGTCCTTTGTCCACTTTTTAATGAAGCTTTTTTTTTGGTGTAAATTTGCTTAAGTTCTTTGTAGCTTCTGAATATGAGACCTTTGTCAGGTGGACAGACTGCAAAAATTTTCTCCCATTCTGTAGGATGTCTGTTCACTCTGATAATAGTTTCTTTCACTCTACAGAAGCTCTTTTGTTTAATTAGATCCCATTTGTCAATTTTTGCTTTTGTGGCAGTTGCTTTTGGCATTTTCATCATAAAATCTTTGCCCATCCCTATGTCCTGATTGGTATTGCCTAGATTTTCTTCCAGGGTTTTTATAGTTTTGGGATTTACATTTAAGTCTTTAATCCATCTTAAGTTAATTTTTGGGCAAGGTGTAAGGAAGGAGTCCAGTTTCAATTTTCTGCAGATTGCTAGCCAGTTCTCCCAGCACCATTTGTTAAATAGGGAATCCTTTGCCCATTGCTTATTTTTGTCGGGCTCATTGAAGATCACAGGGTTTTAGATGTGTGGTCTTATTTCTGAGTTCTCTATTCTGTTCCATTGGTCTATGTGCCTGTTTTTGTACCAGTACCTTGCTGTTTCAGTTACTGTAGCCTTGTAGTATAGTTTTAAGTCAGGTAGCCTCATGCCTCCAGCTTTGTTCTTTTTGCTTAGGATTCTTCTGGCTATAGGAGCTCTTTTTTGGATCCATATGAATTTTAAAATAGTTTTTTTCTAATTCTATGATAAGCTTCACTTTTTAAATTAATGACTAAAAGTTTGAGACATCACAGAGCCTTAGGTGTTGAGGGGAAAACAGTTTGAGGCAGAGAAAGGAGATACAACAGTATCTCTGAGTTTTTCTTGCCAATATCTTTAATAACAGCAATGTTCTCTTCAATGAGTTAACACAGTTGAGAACATAGAATAACTAGATCAAATAGTTCCAAGACTTTAGTGCTATAAAAATAATGCCTTGAAAATAAGTCTTTGTTTTGTCTAAAATGTCTCAAATTTAGGGGAAGTATGCCCCTAGTGCCAGTTTTCTTATTGAAATATCGTCTTCCAAAAAACATTTGCCTACACTTAAAAAAAGAAGTACTGCTCTGTCTCTGGAGTAGCCATCCTTTGTTTCTTTCTCTAATTAACTTGCTTTCACTTAGAAAAATATTGCTTAATCAGATTGCTTTTCATTTACAAAGATGTGAATCTCATACTTCAGTCAACACATCTAGCATGCCAATAACTTCGGTTTGATGCAGTATCACGAAATTGTTAGCTCGAATTGAGAAACTAGTTTTTTCAATAACTGGCTATTCGATCAGCATTCTATAATACACTTAACATCTTTTGTTGTGATATTGAATGATATGTGATAGAAGTGATTTGGACACCACTATGATTCTAAATAGCATGCCATCAGGTGCTTCTGAAGTGGTTTTGTTTGTTTCTTTGTTTTCGCAGTCCTATTGTGTTTTCTATTCATATTGCTATTCCGTCACTGGTTATTCCTTTCTACTCTTTTCTTGTTTCATTTATTTTGATCAATGATGTGCATTTCCAATTCTGTAAAAGTTTAATTCAGTGGTATGTGTGGTAGAATGTAACATCAAATCCTTTGCAAGATGGAATTACCTTGCACATCAGATTGAAGATTGTATACATGAAAATCTACAGAGATGCCAGTGAGCCAAGGATCAAATGACCTATTTGTAGCCAAAGCCATTTTCATGGCCTCGTGGTCCTCTCTGTCACATGGCTCCTTACAATTCTGTGTGGTTTTGTTCCAATGTAAGTAGTTCTTGTTAAGGATGCTTGCAATGAACTTTGGTATTCTTTTCTCTTTCATTTTTATAAAAACCAAGCATATTTTACTTTGAAAAAATCTGTTTAAGGAATTAGGAATTTAAGTCAATTCTTTCAACTCAATGTTTTCAGAACACATCATCAACATCAAGTATTACACATTTATTTTAAAAGTTCCATTTTAAAAGGGAATGGATGATATGTTGTTTGGACTTTAGCCAGCACTGTTGTAAAACACAGAACCTGTAAACTACCCTGGGCTGCTGCCCATTCACATCCCCCAAAAGGAGACTCCATCCTGAGTCTTGTGATTATTATTCCTTTATTTAGATGTGTGGTCTTATTTCTGAGTTCTCTGTTCTGTTCCATTGGTCTATGTGCCTGTTTTTGTACCAGTACCTTGCTGTTTTCATAATATCTATAAAGAAATTATAGAGTTTCTTTAAGGATTTGTGTAATAAGTATAGATATATCCCCAATCCAAATATTAGTTAGTTTTGATGGTTTTTAAGCTTCCAGTACAGCAAATTCCTACTGCATTTATTTTCCCATGATGCACATTACATATAGGAGTTATCTGTGGTGTGGGAGGCTGTCATTCATTCGTTTTTACTGCTGAAGGTTTACATTTTATGGTTATACCATAATTGCACTAGTTTTCTATTGATATATATGTAGCTGATTCCAGTTCTTGCCATAAACATTAGTGTGCCTGTCTCCTGGGCACATAGGCAAGAAAGCCCGCAGAGTGTATGATTAGGAGTGGGATGATTGGATGATATGTTATATGGCCTTTAACCATACTAGATAATAATAATATGATTTCCAAAGTGATTGTGCCAACTTAAACTTATTTATTTATTTATTTATTTATTTATTTATTTATTTATTTTTGAGACGAAGTCTTGCTCTGTTGCCCAGGCTGAACTGCAGTGGTGCTATCTTGGCTGATTGCAACTTCCACCTCCCAGTTCAAGCAATTCTCCTGCCTCAGCCTCCCGAGTAGTTGGGATTACAGGCATGCACCACCACGCCCAGCTAATTTTTGTATTTTTAGTAGAGTCGGGGTATTGGAGGCCGAAAGAATGAGGGTCGTGATCAACTCAGTATACCACTGGAGGCTATATGAGCAAACAGCAAACTGTTCTCATGAAAGCAGGATGTTGGCAAACTGACAAACTGAGTTTGCTGCCAGAAGGAATCACTAGAAGCAAGAAGCCCCCGACCCCTTCTTTTAGAACAGATCTTTTTGTCTTTGTCTTTATTTCTGTGTTCATCCCCCTTCATTATATCCCATAGTAACCGATTGCGACAATGGGGTTTTACCATGTTAGCCAGACTGGTCTTGAACTCCTGACCTCAGGTGGTCCACCCACCTCAGCCTCCCAAAGTGCTGGGATTACAGGCGTGAACCACCACGCCTGGCTTAAACTTTTGAAATAAGTGCGTAATACTTGATGTTGATGATGTGTTCTGAAAACATTGAGTTGAAGGAATTGAGTTGAAAGCCGCTGTCTTGGCTGCAGAATTATAGCAGGCATTTTTATTTAGATTCTGTCAATAACTTTCTGTTGTTTACTTGTTTCTCATATACCGTGGCATTGTACTTTTGACATACAGATTCAGAAAATGCTTACTTATAGCACAATCACATAGGGTTATTTTATATGTTAGGAAATTTTCATAATAAAAAGGAAAAAATGGAGGAAGGGAGGGAAAGAAGGAGGAAGAGAAGAAGGAGTGAAAGAAGAAAAGAAGGAAGGGGAAGGGGAAGAAAAGGGAAGGAAAGCAGAGTAAAAAGGAGGGAAGGCGAGAGGTTGAATGGAAATAGAGAAGAAAGAGAGGGAGGGAGGGACAGAAGGAAGGAGAAAGGGAAGGAACAAAAAAGAAAAGAAACTAAAATAAAGAAAAGAATACACGTTGAGAAACTAGAAACCCTACGTATGGCCAATATTATGAAAATGGAAGGAAATAAAGCAGATGTACGTAACCTGTATAGAATAATGGAAATGTAAGAGGGCTTCATTAGTTATCCATTGCTGCATAACAAACTACCCCCAAATTTAGTGATTAAATCAACAAACATTGACGAACTCAAAAACATAATACAAATACCAGCAAAATGGAGCCAACGCAAGTAGAAGAAGTTGAATAAACAAAAGGATTTTACAAATTGGAATAAGAGGACACTGGTGTGTAGATGAAAATGATTTTGTAGTCCAAATCCTCCAAAAAGCAAGTGCCATCATGGGGTTAAAGTTACAGCATTTTATTAGGGGACATACCTGTCAGACGATATTGTGAGGGAGTCAGGTTACCCTGGGAAAGGCAACAGGCCGAGATGCAAGTGTGACCCCCAGTGATGGACAGAAGGAGAGAAGGTTTACTGGATGTTTCCTAGACCACAGGCAATCTAAGGAGAGTTGAGCAAGGCCATGGAGGAGACCCGGAGCCACCATTGGCCATCAGAGGAGTCCCCTGTCTCCCAGGAATGTCCTGCCTTAGTGTCACTGGTGTGAGCCATCACTGACTGGGAACAGCCCATGGGAAGCAGGGCCTCCATACCAATGCTACTGAGGATGTCAGAGCACAGGAGCAGGGCCTTGGGAGATTACCCAGGAGTGTGACTCAAACCTGCTGCCCAGATGGGTCTGGGTTCTTGGAAATCAAATCCTCTCAGGCTAAATTGCTGGATGATTCTGCTCACACTTACAATGGGGCAAGGGGACCCAGAAGGTTCCCAGGTGGATGTCTGGTTTCCACACACACTTCTGCCCTCATTGTGTGAAAGCAGCCATGCCTCCTCCTGGGGATGAGGGCCTATTACCTGGGCCTGGAGAGAAGGACACTCCTCTTCTCACGATGTGGTCTCTGGGAACATGCTCTCCAAACTTCTCTGGTGACTAAAGTAATGTGTAGTTCAATGGGCTCTCTTTTGTCTACTTTTAAGGGTACCCTCCTTTGGAAACCAGGACCTCCTAACCCGCACAGCCCATTGTTGGGAGATAAAAAAGGCAAAATACCTTAGTGGGTGAATCTAAGAGATTGGACATGGAGCCATACCTGCTTCCACCTTTTGATTTCTGGACCTACATGTTCTTCCATTGAGAACACAGCACCATAGAGACATCTCTGATTCAAACAATGTACCATGTTCTGAAAGATGGCACTTTCAGAGTGCTTCCTCCAGGCTGGCACTGAGTTGTGCCTATAGAAGACCTGTCCAGCATTCCTTGTGGCTGGTAGCTCCTGGGTGGTGCAGATGGTGATAGGATTAGTGGAACCCACAGCCATGGAAACTTTAAAACTTTCCAGGCCAAATGGGTCCTTCAGGCAGAGAATGGGCTAGGAGCACCGCCTAGCCTGCAGATCAGGAATGTCAACAGCACCCGGAGAGTGGTGCTGGCTGAGTGTCAGAGCAAGACAGGAAAACCCACCCATGGAATATGGGCCTATTTCTGTGAAGATGAACCTCTGGCCCTTCCAGGATGGAAGTAGCTAAATGTAGTCACTTGTTACTTAGTGGCTGGTCGCCTAAAGAAATAGCGCCCCACTAGGGCACATCATGGGCTCCAAATGCTGATGAGTTGACATTCAGGAGTGGCAGTAGCTGGATCTACCTTGGTAGGGCTGGGAGAGTCAGTGCTGCTGGCCTCATACATAGCCTCATGCCTGCCACTGTGGTTGCTCCATTCATGCACCCATCCTACCAGGCCTGGGCTGACCCATGGTGAAGGCTGGCTAACTGCCATTTGTCTGTTTGGTAGTTCAGTGCCACTTCAGACTTGGGTGTTTTCTGTGGGTGTCAGCAAGGGATTCAAGCTCAACCCAGGTGGACCATTTTCACCTGTTGATGAATGCTGTTGGGCCTGTGCAATTTATGACTTTGTGGGTCACACAGCCACTTGGAACCACATTGTTGTTTGGTGTCCCATGGTCAAGCATTCTATCAAATCAGGACAAGTAACACTAAATGTTGCTTCTAACAGGGAGCATATGTCTCTGCTGTGGATGACATGATCTTACTCCAGAATCCCAGGCCCTTCATTGTGACTCTCCCACTGGTGCTTGGTTCAGCTCCATCCTGCATCTTTCCCCACCACTGGCACCACCAGCCCCAAGGGGTCTGAGGGATGCTGGCTGCTTGTACCATGGCCTGGATCTGCTGCAAGGTCCTTTCCCGTGTGGGCCCCACATGAAGGTGGCCTCCTCCTATGTCACCTAGAGTGTGGGCCAAAGCAACACACCTAAATGTGGAATGTGGTGTCATCAGAACTCAAAGAGGCTCATCAGGCAGTGTGCTTCCTTCCTTCTGGTGAGGATGCAAGATGAAACAGTTTGTCTTTTACCTTGGAGGGGACACACCTGCATTCCCCTAAACACTTGGCACTTGTTCACCCATAAAACTTCACTTCAGTGGCCACTCTTGAAGCTCTGTAAGGTTTACCTTCACCTTCTGGAGTGTGCTTGTTTTGCCAAGGACTCCAGTGCAGTTTCTACCTGCTGCTCATCCACCCCAGTAAACATGAAATTGTCAATGAAATGAGCTGATTTAATATCCTATAGGATATCCAGTATGTCTAGTGTAGTCTTAAGACTATATACTATAGCGGGCAGAGGAGTTACAATAGCCCTGAGGCAAATGATAAATAAATGTGTTGTGGATCCCACATGAATGTGAATCATTCCATATCCCCTTTCTAATTGGAGTGGAAAGGAATGCACTCACCAAGTCTGCAGCTGCACACTGTGGGCCCAAGGATTTATTAATCTGCTCTACCAGTGATATCCAGACAACATAAAAGCTGCAATTATAACTCCTACTTGGCCATACCTAGAGTAATCTCATTCATTCTTTAGGCATCATCAGGCTCCCTCAGGGACAGTTTGCTGGATTACGTAGAGACGATAGACAGCCCCAACACCACCCCACATCCTTCAGCTCTCTCATGGTGATGTGACCCCCACAGTACTTTCAGTGCCTTCCACAAGACACATGAGGTTGCCTGGTTGCTGTGGTGCCCGCTTTCCACCCCACCCTCCCGTACCCCCATGTCACTTTCATTGTGTCCTGAATAACAGTTTCAAGTTTGTCTATGGCTTCTGCGAGGAGCCAGGACATCCAGATAGAATGGGCCACATGAATCAATTGGTACGTGTTTCTCCTTTCAGGCAGAGTCTCACTCACTTCACACAAGCACAGAGATCCCCATATAGGCAACTAGATTATGAGAAACAAACGCACCCATCCAAACCCAAAGAATGGACTCTGAGACCCAGAGAACAGCAAAAGTGAGAGTGTTAGTGACGGTTTTGCAATATTGGGTGTCTGGAATGCAGGCACACCAGGGAGAGTTTCAACAATTTATTCCCTAGTGCGCAACTCCCTCCCCCAGTTGCTCATTAGCTGAGTACCAAGGACTTACGATCTTCCCGGATGTCACCTATTGGTAGTTTAAGACTTCAAGTATGTTCCTTAGGGTTTTTTTTTTTTTTTTGCTGCATTTTGTTGCAGCCCATAATGCATTGTGATTGTCTCAGGACTCTTTAAACATTTGACTTATGTCCCTAATGGCTGCACTTAGTTGATAAGAAAGGGTACAATTATCTATGTTGCAAGCTAGCCTAAACTACATTTTTTGGTGAGGTGGGGAAGGGGTCGTTGAGGGGGCCCCAACCGATAGGTGCCTGGCCAGTGCATGAAAGGGAAAGCAAGAAGTAGGGGGGATGGTGGCTTAGTACATTTTCCTTCTTTATCTCTTTATGACCATGTGGCCTGCTTAAACCTATACTAAGGCACATAGAATTGAAAATGAACCATCACATGTAGGTTATTTTTTACACCCTTAAGTCCTGCCCAAGCCAGGGCTGGGCCAAGGCCCTCGAACATCCAGCTGTGGCCTCCTCCTGCTGCAGGTGAGGAGTGGGCAGCAGGGAGGGCCGTGGTGCCTGCTTTGTCCCCATCCCGGTCTCTGTCTCTCAGGCTTACCAGGTCGCATCCAGGTGGGTGAGTTGGGAATTGCGTGCTGATTGCTGAGGGCCTGGATGATCACTATCTCAGAGGGAGCAAATAGTAAAGGCAGATGTGATCTAGGGAGGGCTAGAAACTGGAGAGGAATCCAAGGAGAGGTGGTGCCTCTAGTCCCTTCCTCTCTGCATCCCCCTCCCCTGTTTCTCCAGCCATCAGGAGGACATCAAGAAAAAGACCCACGAGGCCCAGAATGAGGGCCCCCATGTGTACAGCCCCTTTGAGGTCCCCTTGTAACAGGGAGAGTCCTGAGTGCACATGGCCATCCTCTGTCCACTTTGCAGCTCCCCATATGCCTCATCTGGGAGCTGTCTCAGGGGTGTCACGTCCTCTGGGTCCCTCGAGACCGTGCTTTTTCTGGGTTCCCACCATATGGCCCCTGTCTCCCTGTGTTTCCTTGCAGATAATATGGACCAGTTGATAAGCAGATGTCCCTGGGCTATTTGGGGAGTGGGGACCAGCCCTCTGTCAGGGCAGCTGTGGTCCCTGTTTTCATCCCATGTCCAGGTGTTACTTTTTCCAGCCCCCGAGGGTCATAGTACCCAGTGGGCTGTTTTTTGGGCTTTGTTCTGTGCTCTGTGGCCTCACCTTGCCTTTCCTGAGCCAATGTTTTTGTTCTTAGTGTAGTCGCTGCCTGGTAAGTTTACAATAAGAGACAGTCAGAATCATTTCCCCCACAGTCAGGTTGTTTGAGGGGAGAGGAAAAGAGCAAGCAGAAAGTTTTGAGTTTCTGCAAAGACAGAGGCAGTGCAGGGGACAGTGAGAGTCTGGGGTGTCCAGGAAACCCGAGTCTTTCTGCCATTTCTCCACTTCCGTGTGTCTGGCCAGTGAGGTGGTGGTGACTCATCCTTGAACCTAATTGCACAGTTAGTTGGCCACTCAGGCCTGGGCAGATGGGACGGTTCATCCCCTGCCCTGCAGCAAGAGGGCCCCGTCCAGGAGGCAACCACAGCACGGGCAGTGCAGGTCTGTGGTTGCTCCTGCTCTCACCTGCGGTGTCTCCTATAGAGGGATTGTCAGTTCTGGTTCCCTGTAGGCAGGAAAGGTTTTCTCGTAGGTCACTGGGACATTGGCCAGAAAAAGGCATGAAAATTACATGTTAGTTTCTCAAAATTCCTGCTTTAAGTATTGGTGTCCATCAACATAATTTCAGCTGGATAATCTTAATAGGATTTCCCCCAATACTGATGTTGTAAAGGATGTTGAATAGAACAGGAAGTCAAATTTGGGGCTTCGTTTCTCAGAGGGTCCATGTGGGAGACAGTGCCTGTGGCAGTGGCAATCCCCAGGTGCAGAGGGTGCGTAGAGGCAGCCTCAGGATGAGGGGTCTGAAGAAACCCCCTACTCCACAGGCGAAGAAGATCCCCTGTGAGCTGCGATGGCAGTGGCCTGGGTGGAATCCCTGTTAGGAATGGGACAGGAAGGGCTTGCAGCCTCACCAAGCAGCAGCCCTGGGGTGGAGCTGCATTTCCAGGGTTGAGTGGACAGGCAGGAGCAAGCACAGCCCAAATGCAGGTTATGGGGAGGGCAGGCTGGGCCTCCTTGAGCAAGGGGGTCCCCAGCATCAGGTCAGGTGCAGACTCCATGGCAGCCACATATTTCCATGCCGGGCCTGTGAGCCCCAGGGCTTCCTGATAGGATCTCTTGTTAGGAGCTGTCTGCTCAGAGCTGGGAGGGGAGGAACAGTGAGCTGCTGGTGGAGGGCAGAACCCACAGTGTGCAGGGCCTGCCCTGGTATGCAGGTGCCTCTGCAGGTGAAGAGGGCCTGGGGTCTCAGGAAGAGAAGGACTGTGTGTGACTTGGCCCAGACCTGGAAGGACATGGAGACAGGGCCAGGGCCTCTCTTTGGGGAGGCCTCTCACTGTGTCAGGGCTGGTCAGGCTTGAGAGGAGGAGGAAAGGGCACTGAGTTTCCTCTTGGGTCTTGTTCCTTAGTCCTGGGTCCTTTCACTCACTGCACAATGGATGGTGGACACAGGGCAGGTGCTGATGTTGATGGAGTCACGGGAGGGGACTGGCAGGGGCTGGAAAAGTGCGATGGGAGGGAGAAAAAAGTGGGGACGTCATCTTCCGTCAGAGAAAGGGTAAATCTGATTTGGGAGTGACTGAGGAGGGAGAACTCCTCAGGGAATAAAAAGCAGCACTCTGCACCCAGGGGAGCATTTATTGGTTTCTCTCTTTTTTCCAGAGCGCGTGAGCCTGCAAGGCCTGGGTCAACACCTGGTTGGGACAGGAGACCACCAGGGCAGTGCACAGCTGAGATCTCAGTCTCTGGTGTCAGCTCCTGGGTTCGCTGGCTCCACTGAGGGCAACTAGACTCTGCAGCCAGGCGATCTGGATTCAACTCCTTGCCTAGGCCTCACCAGCATGTTCTCTCTTTGTGCCTCATTTTCCTCATCTATGACATGGGGAAACTACGAGCATTTATTTCTTGTGGTTGGATGAATGAAAAGGGTTAGTATATATGGGGTATTTGCAGCTGTGCCATATTATTTTTGTTATTTTGTTATTTTATTATATTTTGATATATTACATATGCAGTAATTGTATTATTATAGGTGAGCATTATGAGTGAGTGTCCTGCTGATGGCTCCTTGGTCCTGGCCCAGCACCAGCTTTCCTGGCACCTTGAGGTCCTGTCATCTCTGTCATGCTCTCCTGCATTACCCCATTCTACTCTGTCTTCATATTTTATACTATAGATATTTAACTCTTAAATAGACATTTCTGGTCTGCGTTTTATTTCAAGTGTCTGGGAAGGGATAGTGTGAGGTTCAGGAGAGAAGGAGAGGTCTGTCTCCATGCTTTGACACAGCATAAAGAAACCTTCCCTCCTCCCCCACATCTCCCCGCCAGTTCTCAGTGAGGGACAGATTCACAGCAACACCGAAAGGGCTGGGAAGGGATGGGGGGACATTTGCAGCCAGTGTTCAGGGGCTGACCCTGTGGGGCAACATCTTCCCTGCAGAGTTAGAGCCCACATATGATGATGTAGAGCTGAAGGGTGATATCAGGGAGGGGACGGAGAGTGCTTTGTGGTTTCCTGATTACGAAGAGTAGAGGTCAGTCAGCTTCTGGGGTGAAGTGACTGCTGGGGAGATTGGATTGAATTAATGAAGAATAAGTGAGCTGGGATTGAGGATGAGTAAAGCAAGCATCAGCATCTCCCGCCATCAGTTCAGACTGATTGGGGAGGTGGGATAGTTCCTGACCTTGTTGTGTGGTTCCTCCTAACTTCCTGGTCTTGGGGACACAGATGGGTGGTGCTGTTCTTGGTCAGGGCAGCCTCAGCTCCATCCAGATAAAGCAGTGGTGGCAGAGAGAGTTAGGGGAGCACCTGTGAAACAGACCAAGGCAGGGATGGGAGCCTTCTGTGCAGCCAGAGTGGATGCAGGACCTGCCTGGATGCAAGAGAAGGATGAGGGACCCTAGCTGGGTCCTGTTCCCTGACTCCCTGTGTTCACAGGGCAACCAGTAAGGGAGCTGGGGTAGGGTATTCATTCATAAGCTATCTATCTAGAGATGTGTTTATAGACATATTATTTCATGTTTGTATTCAGGTTTGTTGTCACAGACACATTTATCCATGTGTGTTTTATGTTTAAGTTACTTTGGAATAGCTCAGTCACAAAATCTTAATCTCTTAATTTGTGCTGCCTCTCTACACGGAAACACACACACAGGTGGACACACACACACAGGCACACACACACATTCACACACATGCTATACAAACATGTCTACCTGTATCTATAAAGAAACATGTTATGTTATTTTATTTTTTATTTCTTAGATTCATATATATTCATGAGGCACAAGTGCAATTTTGCTACATTGCTATATTGGTTGTGGTAAAGTCAGGGCCTTCAGAGCATCCAGCACTGGAGACAAGCACATTGTACCTATCAAGAAACCCCTCTATTATACACCAACTGCCAACCCCCTTACCCTTCTGGGTCTCCATGGTCCATCATTTCACACTCTCCTTTTATGTATATAAAGAGATATTAACCAAATACGGCAGAGTGGTAGCTTGAATTTTACTGCACCATTCTTTCAGCTTCTTTGCACATTTGAAAATTTATACAGTTATAAGTTGGAAGAATGAGGGAAAATAGAGAGCAAGACAGTGCTGAATAGGAATAGGCTAGGGGTTGTGTCCCACTAGGAACCATAATTGATCTTTGCCATTTTGAAAGTGTGTCCCCTGAGCAGCCTTCAGAGAGTCCTGGAGGCAGACTTGTTTTCACAGTAATACCAAGATGCCATCTGCCTGTTTCATTGTGTTGACTTTTCCATAGTGCTGCAAATGCCAAGGTCGGTAACACACCCAGCACCTTAGCAGAACCAGGCAGTGGCTCCAAACTGCAGTCCCATTTAAGAGTGTCTTTGATGGAGCAGTAAAAAATTTATGTGGGTTAAAGTTTGATCCTTGAGTATACGTGTTTAATATTCTTTGTGAGAAAATGGGAAATATGCATAAAACACTTACTGCACAGAGAAGCAGGATGGTAGCCTTGAGAAAGGGCACTTGTGTGACTCAGTTATTATTTCAACCAGCAGATCTCACTCACCTACGGAAAGACAGTTGTATTAATTCCTGTTTGGGGGTATCATGAATAAAGCTGCAAGAGTATTTGTGCACAGGATTTTCGTGAACATAAAGTATTCCCTCGTTTGAAATAAGTGCCTAGGAGGGCAATTGCTAGTCATAAGGTAAATTGCATGTTCGGTTTGAAGAAAACTGCAATACTCATTTCCAGAGCGGCTGTACCATTTTAAAATACATCCCTACCAGCAATATAAGAGTGTCCCAGTTCCTCTGCGTCCTTGCCAGCATCTGTTGCTACCTTTATTTTGTATTTCAGCCATTCTCATCACTGTGGTTTTAATTTGTATTTTCCTACTGGATAATGATGTTGAGCACCTATTCATCTGCTTATTAGCCCAGTATTTATCCTCTTCAGTGAAATTTGTCTGTTCGTGTCTTGCTCATTGCCTGTTTTGTATTTGGATTTCATTTTTATTGTTGAGTTTTAAAATTTCTTCATATATTCTGAATACAGTCTTTACAGAATATGTTGCCTGCAAATATCTTCTCTCATTCTGTAGCTTGTCTTTTTATGCTCTTCATAGGTCTCTCACAGAACAACAGTTTTTAGTGTTGATAAGATCCAATTTATTAACTTTTATGGATCATACTTTTGGTGTTATGTCTAAGAACTCTTTGTCCAGTCTTAGCTCTGATGACTTTTTCTTAAAAGGTTTGTAATTTAAAAATTTAAATTTATTATTTATTTTAGAAAAAAAATTCTTGCCTAGGCTGGCCTTGAACTCCTGGGCTCAAGGGATCCTCCCACCTCAGCTTCCTGAGTAGCTGAGAGTACAGGCCTGTGATACCACACCTGGCTCAATGTTTGCCATTTTAACTCTGTGCTTTACATGAAAGCTTGTGACTCATTTTGAGTTATTTTTGTATGAAGCATGAGGTTTTGGCTCAGGTTATTTTTTTTCCACTGTGGTTGTCCAGTTGTTCCATCACCATTTGATGGGAAAGCTCTCCTTCCTTCATTGAATTGCTTTTGTGCTTTTGTAAAAGTCAGTTGAGCATGTTTTGCTCATTTTTAGTTGAGTTGCTCATCTTCTTACATTGAGTTTAAGAACTTTTCACATATTCTGGATACATGTTCTTCATCACAGATGTAATTTGTGATAAATTGTGAAATATTTTCTCTCAATCTACGGCTTGTCTTCTCATTTTCTCAATATTGTCTTTTGGAGCACTTAAGTTTTAAATTTTAACTAAGCCCAATTTGTCTCTCACTTTTTTTTCATCTGTAGATCATGTTTTTTGTATTTTATGTAAGAATCTTTTGCCTAACTACTCAATGTCACAAAAATTTTCTCCTATATTTTCTTTTAGAAATTTTATGGTTTTAACTTATAAATTTTAGCTGTTTAGGTCTCTAATTTGTTTGAGCTTATATTTTATATGGCGATAAGTGTCACATCATATTACCTATGCAACTTCATTGAAGATCAATTGACAAAAAAATGTAAGAATGTCTTTCTAGATTCTCACTTCTGTTCATTAATCTCTGTGTCTCTCGCTTTCACACTGTCTGGATTATTGTAGTTTTATATGACATTCCATTTTTTTTCAAATTTGCGTTGGCTTTTCTGCATCCTCTGCATTTTCACATACATTTTTAGGATTAAATTGTCAATTTTCCATAAAATGCCTGCTGGGGTTTTGATAGAGATTGTACTGAACCTATAGATCTCTTGGTGGAGAATTGTCATCTTAACAATATTATTGAGCTTTCCAACCGCATCTCTCCATGAATTTAGACCTTTAATTTCTCTCAGTAATGTTTTGTAGTTTTCAACAAACTCTGCTGTCTTCCTAAATTTATTCCTATTTCTCTCTTTTTGTAACTACTGTGATAGGAAAGTTTAGATTTTAATTGCTTGTATAGAGAAATATGTTAATAATTTTTAATTTGATTTTATATCCTATGGGAGCTTCTGGATTCATTTTTTAGTGCTAGCAGGCTTTTATCTGCTTGTGAATTCTACAGACAAGGTCATGTTATCTGTGAATAGAGTTTTATGTTTTCCTTTTTATCTGGATGCCTTTAACTTTTAATTATTTGCCTTATTGCACCAGCTGCAATCTCCAGTACAATGTTAAGTAGAAGTGTTGGATGGGACATCCTTGCATTGATCTCCATCTTAGGAGAAAAGCATTCAGTCTTTCTTCAGCAAGCATGATTTTAGTTGTGGGTTTTTTATAGATGCCCTTTATCAGGGTGAGGAAGGTCCCCTCCATTCCTATTTTGTTGAAACTTATGAACATGAGTGGTGTTAACATTTTTGTCAACTGTTTCTTCTGTATCTTTTGAGATAATTATGTCTTTTATTCCCTTACTACAGTGCATTCCATTAATTGATTTCTAATTGTTAATCCAGCCATATATTCCTGGGATGAATCCCACTGGTCATGGAATGTAATCCTTTTTTACGTGGCTTTCTATTGTCTGCCAATGTTTGTTAAGGATGTTTTCATTTATGTTTATTGGTGACACTGGTCTATGGTATTCTTTTCTTGTCAGTCTTGCTCTGACTTTGATATTAGGGTAATGTCAGTTCTGTAAATGAGCTAGAAAGTCTTGCCTCCTCTCTTCTTGTCTGAAAGAGCTTTTGAAATATTTGATAGAATTCACCAGTGAAGATATCTGGGCTTTGGCATTTCTTTGTGAGAAGGTTTTAAAATTACTGTCTTAGTGTACAGTTCTCTTCAGATTTTCTATTTATTTTTGAGTCAGTTTCAGCAATTTCTATCTTTGTATAAATCTGTCCATTTTATCTAAGTGGTCTAACTGATTGGCTTCAGGTTTTTCAGAGTATTAACTTATAATGTTTTTTAACTTCTAAAGGGTCATTAGTGATACTCTCTCTTGTGTTCACAATTTTGGTAATTTATCTCATTTCTCATACTGTCTGTTTTGACTTTTGGTCAAGAAAACAGACAGAGGCAGCTCTGTGACAGATTCTGTAGTGGGAAGCTTTGATCATTCATAGCTGGCAAGCCAGACTAATGCCAGCAACCCCAAAGGAGCTGCCAATGGATCTTGACAGGGAAGTCACTGACTCTGGATTGGGCTATGATCAACCAGGGGTAGATGTCAATGCTTCAAAGGCTATACAAGAACCAGAAAAATGGAGATTACACCAATTTGGACTGTTGAGTCACATTTCTTTACACAAGAAAACACACTTTACAGCCTTAAAAAGCCAACAGTGCACAGGGAAATGTACTATTCAGGGGAAACTTTGATAGAATATTGAAATGGCTGACCAGGCGCGGTGGCTCATGCCTGTAATCCCAGCACTTTTGGTGGCCGAGGCGGGCGGATCACCTGAGTTTAGGAGTTTGAGACTATCCTGGCCAATATGGTGAAACCCCGTCTCTACTGAAAATACAAAAATTAGCTGCGTGTGGTGGTGGGCGCCTGTATTACCAGCTACTCGGGAGGCTGAGACAGTAGAATTGCTTGAACCTGGGAGGCAGAGGTTGCATGAGCCGAGATCATACTACTGCACTCCAGCCTGGGCGACAGAGTGAGACTCCATCTCAAAAAAAAAAAGAAAAAGAAATAGTCAGTTGAAACATTGGTTGTCTAATTGTCTAAAAACTGCCAATATAATTGTTGGGCAATATAAACATGAAGGACTGGCTTTTATATCTTCATGAATGTGCTTACTGTCAACATGGGTGGAGCTGCGAAACTGACTCCACTAGGTAGCTTCCTCTCTTTTTCCTGATGGATCAGGGTGATGCTGTTATGACTGTACATACAATTCTTCTTAAGGGGAGGATGCTGGAATAATGACTACACTTCATTTCTTATTTCTTTTTTTACACAGGGTGCAGTGGTACCAGGAACAGGGATGCAAATCGAACTGCCAGAAACAGGAATTATCCCTAAGGAAAAAACCATAACTATATTTTTATACCTTTATGTAAGAATTCCCAAGCAAATCAAGGATTGCGCTGTGCCTTCATTTCATCTGGCAAAGTCGGGATTAACTGTAAGTAGAGCTACGTAGACTGGTGGTCAGATAGCCTGCACTAGTTCCTAACCTATGTAACCTACTGTCTATGATCAAGAGTAGATTAAGAGAAGACATGGTAGAATACTATTGCTGCATGCAGTCTAGGCCAGCACAGCAGCCAAACCTAATGTCACTTCTAGAACTGGAAAAGACTGATATAAAGGGACAGAAGGAGGAATAGTGGCTGAGGGTAGGTGAATAAATCAAAGGGTTATGTAATGAGGAAAATTCAATATTAGCTTATCTCCTCAAAAGTGGTGTGAGCAAGAGATGTTGTCTCTTAGGTCAACTATACTGGATGCCTAAAAGGGTGAAGCTGTATGTCCCTGAGACCATTCTTGTTTTTGGAACCTGATAAGATTGAATGGTGTCTGCAAAGCTGAGTGATGTCATTCTGGGAGACATATTCATACAAGAGGATGATAAACTGGCCTAATTTTGAATGACCGAATGAGACTTGGATAATATGCCAATGCTTCTTTACTGTTATAATCCTTTTCGTATGAAAAATATGTGGTCAAAGAAAAGGGGGTAATATGAGTTATCACAAAAACATTTAGTTTTGTCCCTGGTTTCTCCTAAAAACCTTAGAATCTCTTGAGTGATTAGAGTGTCTTTAGAATACTGAGGAAAGGACTCTTGGCTGAGTGGATCCTGGATACCTTGAGAATGGGGGCTGGCTGCCACAGACACATACCTATGATGAGAGGGTTGTCTTATTCCGTTTTGTGTTGCTATAAAGAAATGTCTGAGACTGACTAATTTATATAAACAAGGTTCATTTGGCTCAGGATTCTGATGTCTGGAAATGTTTGAGCATTTAGCGAGGGCCTCAGGCTGCTTCCACTCATGGCAGAAGGCAAAGGGGAGCTGGTATGTGCAAAAGTCACGTGGTAAGAGAGGAACAGAGGGAGTAGGAAGGTGCGAGACTCTTTTAACAACTAGCTCTTTTGGAAACTAATAGGGCAACAATTCATTGACTCCCGAGAGAGGGCAGTATCTCTCTGTTCATAAAAGATTGGCCCCCAAGACCCAAACGCCACCCATTAGGCCCTAAGTCCAACATTGGGGATCAGATTTTAACATGAGGTATCTGGGGATAAATATTTATATCATTGCATCCTGTCCCTAGCCAGCCAAAGCTCACATTCTTCTCACATTGCAAAAGACAATAATCTTCTCCCAATTGTCCAAAATGTGTTGGGTTGATCCAGCATCAACTCTAAATTCCAAAGTCTCATCTGAGACTCAAGGTAAGTTCTTATAGCTGTGCACCTGTAAAATTAAAAAAAGTTATTTACTTCTAAAATATTAATACAACAGTGGTAGAGACATTTCCTATACATTTCCATTCCAAAAGAAATAAATGGACCAAAAGAAATGAATGCAGTGTCCTCACAAGGTTGAAACTCATCATGGCAGACATTAAAACTTAAAGCTCTAAAATAATCTCCTTTGACTCTATATCTTGAACCCTGAGCACACTGGCTGGTGCAAGCAATGGACTCACAATGCCATCTTCAGCCTCATATCCGTGGCTTTGGTGAACATAATCCATATAGCTGCTCTCATGGGTGAACATTGAATGCTTATGGCTTTTCCAGGCTGAGCTTGCATATTGCCAGTGGCTCTATGATTTAGTAGTCTTGGCAGGGGTCCTGTTCCTGCAGCTCCACTAGGAATTGTCCTGGATATTAAATTTCCCCTTTAAATATCAGTTCCAGTTTCAGGTCATGTCTTTGCTCACACATATGTGCATAGGCTATTACAAGCAGGCAGGCCAAATCTGGAATGCTATGCTGCTTAGAAATTTCTTCCACCAGATACCCTTATACATCACTCTCAAGTTCAAAGTTCTACAGATCCCTAGGGAGGGGGAACAATGCCTCCAAGTTCTTTGCCAATGCATAACAAAAGTGACCTTTCCTCTAGGTCCCAATAAATTCCTCATCTCCATGTGAGACCTTATCAGCCTGGACTCTATTGTCCATATCACTATCAGCATTTTGGTCACAACAGCTTAACAAATCTCTAGGAAGTTGCAAATTTTCCCCCATTTTCTTGTCTTCTGAACTCTCCAAACTCTTCCAACCTCTGCCTGTTACCCAGTTCCAAAGCTGTTTCCACATTTTCAAGAATTTTTATAGTAATACCCAACTCCTGGTACCGATTTTCTGAATTAGTTCATTCTCACACTTTTATAAAGAAATACCTGAGACTGGGTAATTTATAAAGAAAATAGGTTTCTTTCTTTCTCCTCCCACCATCCAAGATGCCAAAAGGAAAGAAGGCCAAGGAGAAGAAGGTGGCTCCAGCCCCTGCTGTCGTGAAGAAGCAGGAGGCCAAGAAAGTGGTAAATCCCTTGTTTGAGAAAAGGCCTAAGAATTTTGGCACTGGACAGGATATCCAGCCCAAAAGAGACCTCACCCACTTTGTGAAATGGCCCTGCTATATCAGGTTGCAGCAGCAGAGAACCATCCTCTATAAGTGGCTGAAAGTGCCTCCTGAGATTAACCAGTTCACCCAGGCACCAGACAGCCAAACAGCTACTCTGCTGCTTAAGCTGGCCCACAATACAGACCAGAGACAAACCAAGAGAAGAAGCAGAGGCTGTTGGCCCGGGCCAAGAAGAAAGCTGCTGGCAAAGGGGACATTCCCCACTAAGAGTCCACCTGTCCTTCGAGCAGGAGTTAACACCATCACCACCTTGGTGGAGAACAAGAAAGCTCAGCTGGTGGTGATAGCACATGATGTAGATCCCATCAAGCTGGTTGTCTTCTTGCCTGTCCTGTGTCATAAAATGGGGTCCCTTACTGCATTATCAAAGGGAAGGCAAGACTGGGACATCTAGTCCATAGGAAGACCTGCACCACTGTCACCTTCACACAGGTTAACTCGGAAGACAAAGGTGCTTTGGCTAAGCTGGTGGGAGTTCTCAGGACCAATTACAATGACAGATACGATGAGATCCGCCATCACTGGGGAGACAGTGTCCTGGGTCTCAAGTATGTGGTTTGCATTGCCAAGCTCAAAAAGGCAAAGGGTAAAGAACATGCCACTAAATTGGGTGAAATGTATGCTGTTGAGTTTTCTGTATGTAAAAATAATTAAAATAATATAAATTTTCCTTCAAAAAACAAAAACAAAACAAAAACAGAAAAGAGGTTTAAATTGGGTCATGGTTCTGCAGGCTATACAGAAAGTATGATTCTGGCATCTGCTCATCTTATGAGAGGGCCTCAGGGAACTTTCGATTATGCTGGAAGGCTAAGGGGAAGCAGACATTACTTACATGCCTGGAGCAGGAGGGAGAGAGAGCAGGGAGGTGACACAGATTTTTAAACACCAGATCTTATGAGAATTATCACAAGAATAGCACCAAAGAGATGGTTCTAAACCGTTCATGAAGGATCCATCCTCATGAGCCGATCACCTGCCACCAGACACCACCTCCAAAATTAGGGATTACAATTGAACATGAGATTTGGGTGGGGACACAGATCCAAACAATATCAGGGGTCATGGTGGACATGAGGATGGGCTGGTCTCCCATTTCTTACCTGTTACTGTAGACATAGACACATTCAGACCCTTTGGCAGAAAGAGAAGCCAGAGGCTCTTAATGTCACAAAGAGGAGGCATGAACAAATCTTGCATCTCAGTCCCTCACAAGGCAATCTTAGAAAAAACATAGTCATAAACTAATCCAGGTCAGTCACAGTAAGTTGTGACACTGAACAGCCCACCACACCTTGAAAAATTCCAAATCAAAGAATCTCCAGAGCTTAGTTGTGTCCCCTCTGCCCAACTCCTCTTTCACTTCAGGCCCTCTAAGGTGTCACTTTTACAAGCCTTGAGAGACACATCAGAGCCCTGGGTACTGTTCCTGTTTGGGGTGGAACAAAAACAAAATCTGGTCAGAGCCCACAGGTGATGTGACTAAAGGAGGAATTTTGGGGTGGCTGAGCTCCCCCATGGGCTCCTGTCTACACTATCCCAAGGATCTCAGGGATCACTCTTCCCACCCCTACCACACTTACATGAAGCCTGAGCATAACTGCCTCCTTTTCCATCTGTGGAAAGAAAACAAACTGTGAGAGGCCAGGGAGGAGGCAGGGCATGAGATCCTAGAGGAGTTTCCAGAACTGTGACTACAGACCCAGGTCAGGATCAGAAAACCCAAGGGAAGAGGATGTGTTGAGGCTGGACCAATTGTCCTCCTGAGGTCTGTCCTCAGCAGGGACCTTCCCCTGACCTGTGACTGCTGGGAGTCAGGTTCCCATGACCACAATCAAGGTGATAAATTTGTCCTTCATTTTCACAAGTGCTTTACAAAAGAGTAAGCGTTGATAGACAGGGCCTCTGAACAGGGTAAATGTGTGTGGAGATGGTGCCTCACAACTAGGCAAGATATGAGCCTACTCCTACCTGGGGCTTGAAATCCACCAATGGAAGAAGGAAACTCAGAGCTCACCCCTTTCCTACCTGGGATCTTATTCCTCCACATCACAGCAGCGACCACAGCTACAGTGATTACAGCAACTAGAAGAACCAGGCCAGCAATGATGCCCACAACGGGGATGATGGGCTGGGAAGACAGCTCTAAGAAAGGAGGTGAACGTGAGGGGCCCTGACCCCCAGGCCTCAGCCCTGACCCTGCTTAAAGGCTCCAGAAGGACTTCTGCTTTGCCTGAGAAGAGACATGACCCCTCATTCGTCTCCTTACCCCATCTTAGTGTGAGGGGCTCAGGCAACCCCTCGTGCTGCACATGGCATGTGTACCTCTGCTTCTCTCCAGAAGACACCACTGCAGCTGCCCACTTCTGGAAGGTTCTGTACCCTGCAAGTCTGGTCTCCACAAACTCTGCATCCTGAATTTGGTCCTCCCCATCCCGCTCCTGGGTCAGTGTGATCTCCAGAGGGTAGAAGCCCAGGGCCCAGCACCTCAGCGTGGCCTCATAGTTGGAGATGGGGTGGAGGGTTACCTGTGCCTTCAGGGGATCTGAGGGCAAGAGGTAGAAAATTCAGGCACTTTGCATTCCTCATGAGACACAGCACCCATGTGACCATCCTGAGAATGGATGGGACATCTGGGGTGGGGAAGGGAGCACAGAACCCAGACAACATTCTGGACACAGGCACCTGGGATAATCTCTTATTCCTTGGAAAGTTCTAGTGTCTGAGGCGGAAACAGAGATTTCTGGTCCTGACCTGAGTGGAGGCCGAGGGACTCAGAAGAGCTGGAATCAGACCCCCACACACATTGAGTATGAGGCAGAGAACAAGGCCTGAGAGGAAAATTCCTGGTGCCCAAGGCTGCTGGGGGGTCAAAGGGGACCGCGTATCAGTATTCCAGGGATTGTCTTCCCCTCCTTTCCCGCAGAGACTTCATCCGTTAATTGTCCCAGAGTGCAGGGCGGGCCCTCAGTCACTCTCTGGTATAGGATTTAGAAACCCAGGAGGACTCTTCTGCCTCAGGACAAGAGGGAGAGGGATATTTTAGCGTTGGTCCCATTTTCCTCCCCTTCTTTTGGAAGGTGGCTCAGGGATATCTGCAGGAGATCAGGGAGGCGACCCGTGGCCTCTGGTACCTGCGCATTGCAGCCTCTCCTTCTCATTCTTAAGGCCTTTGCTGAGCCACTCCGCCCACCTTCCCGGCAGGTAGGTTTTGAGCAGCTCTGCATGTTCCTCCTCCAGAACATCTGAGCCGCCTTTTCCGCTGCGGTCCAAGAGAGCAGTTCCTGGTTTAGGACGAGGTAACTGGCGCCATCGTAGGGTATGTTCATCCCCGCGCGAAGAGGCTCCGGTCCGGGTCCAGGTCGCAGCTGTGTATCCACTGGAGGTGGGAGACCCTGTCCCCAAGCCCGCGGTCAGCCTCAGCCACTGAGCTCCTCCTCTGCCCCGATCAATCCCCCGGGGATTTGGGCCTGAACTGAAAATGGAATCGGGTATAGGCACCTGGGGTTCTTGTGTCGAGGGTCTCCACGAGTCCCGCAGCCTCGGCGTGGGTCTCCGATTGTGCTACAGTGGGTAGCACAATCTTGGTAGCCCCTGAATGGTCACGAATCTAATTTGTAAAAGAGATGATTTTTGGCCCCATTATATATAAATATGTCTAAACGCATTGCAATTAGACTCACAAAGTGAAGTTTTACTTTCCCAGACTGTGTATCTGTGACTCTGGTCTGTTGTATTTTTACAGTATCTTTATTTCATAGCTCTGAGTTTGTGTGTGCGAGTCCAGGACATCTCAATACAAAGCACAATGTATTACCGTATATTGCAACCAGGAGCCTGTACAGAATTTAATTACCTCAGAATTGCAAGTGCTTAATGCAGCCAAAGTGCCCTTCGCCAGTGCTCATGCACTCCCTTTATTATTAATTTTTTTATTTTTTATTTATTTACAGACAGGGCGTCACTCTGTTACCCTGGCTAAAGTGCAGTGGCACGCTCATGACTCACTGAAGCCTCGACCTCCTTGGCTCATGTGATCAATGCTCCTCCCTCAGCCTCCCAAGTAGCTGGCACCACAGGCTTGTGCCACCACTCCTGGCTAATTTTTCTAAAAATAATATTTGTAGAGATGAGGTCTCCCTAAATTGCTCTGGCTGGTCTTGAACTCCTGGGCTCAAGCAATCCTCCCGCCTCAGCCTCCCAAAATGCTGGTATTACAGGCATGAGCTATAATGGCCGGCCCATGCACTTGCCTATTATTATGAATTATTCACATCTAAGCTATGTGTATATTTTATTGAGACATTTGGTATTCTTTTTTAACCTTTTTTTTTTTTTTTGAGACGGAGTCTCGCTCTGTCGCCCAGGCTGGAGTGCAGTGGTGCAATCTCGCTCACTGCAAGCACCGCCTCCCGGGTTCACGCCGTTCTCCTGCCTCAGCCTCCCAAGTAGCTGGAACTACAGGCGACCGCCACCACGCCCGGCTAATTTTTTTGTAATTTTTTATTAGAGACGGGGTTTCACCATGTTAGCTAGGATGGTCTCGATCTCCTGACCTTGTGATCCACGCGCCTCGGCCTCCCAAAGTGCTGGGATTACAGGCGTGAGCCACCGCGCCCGGCCTTTTTTAACCTTTTTATCTTAGAGAGGCAATTAGCTTTTAGACAGCCCCACAGAATGCATTAAAGACCAAGGTGCAAGTAACACTGTGCCAGGCTTTGCGGATAAATGCATTAAAAATCTATAAAACACTGTATTTAAGTCTGAGAATTCCATTGCTTTAGAATTCTTTCTCTCTGTTCCTTTACCTCACCTCCTGCTTCTCCAGCCCTTCTCTCTGTCCCTGTCATCCTTCAGGCCCTCCTCTCCCCTTAGTCTCTACTACTCTGTCACTACTGAATTGTGTCCCTAGCTCTGTCCCTTGCCTGCTGCCCATGACTGTTCTCCCCACAAAGGTCAGCAATCCTGCTAATGTGAGTCAGATTGTGTCATTTCTTCACTTAAAAGCCTCTAATGGCTCCATCTTACTCTCAAGAAGCCTCTAGAATGGAAGGCACAAGCACAGGGGCTTTGGGTTGTTTTGATCAAAGTTGTATCTACAGAATATAAAAGTATATCTGCCACATAGTAGGCACTAAGTTAATTTTTGTTGAATGAATGAATGAAATATAATTGTGTTCAAAATTGTATCACACAAAAATCATGAAATGGAAAATGCAAAGCAAGTTAGGAAATATTTGGTTTTATGCAACTACTATGCATATCAGTTCATGAATTCATTCCGGTGGAGAAAATGTCATATACTTATCCTTTGAATCTGTTTATTTATTTCCTGGCAGTACATAACCAATTACCACAAACTTAGTGGCTGAAAACAGCACCCATTTATTTGTCTACATTTCCTTCATCAGAAATCCAGGCCTAATGTGATAGACTCTTTGTTCAGAGTTTCGCAAAGCTGTATCCTCATCTTAAGATTGGGGTTCTCCCCCAAGCTTATGTAGAGTTTGTTGGCAGAATTCGGTTTCTGGCAATTGTAGGATTAAGGTCCCTGTTTCCTTCAGGCTATCAGAGTAGACAGTGGGGAGGGCTTCTAATTCCTATTGGCCACCAGTGTTCTTTCCCCATGATCCCTCCATTTTCAAAGCCCAAAGTGGAGGAAGCCCCTCACGCTGAATCCCTCTCACACTGTGAGTCTCTATTCTCAGGAAGAACCCAGTCCTTTTCAGAGCTTACCTGATTAGGACCGTCTAAGCAGGATAATCCTCATCTTAAAGTCAACTGACTGGGGACTTTAAATATATCTGCAAAACCTCTTCACAGCAGCACCTGCTTTAGTGTCAACTGAGTAACTGGGGTAACCTGAGAAACCAAGGGTGGTTATTGGGGTGTCATCATAGAATCAGCCTAGCTAGCCTGGATCTTCCTTTCATGTTTAAATAGAACATACAAGTTGAAGATCAAAAAATAGATCATTGTTAATGATAATAAAATATATCTTATATAGCCATGGAAATTTTTATTAAATATTAAAAGCAAATGACATGTTTAATATCTTATAATGAATTTAGAGCAAATGAAAAAGTTCAGTGATTCATCCTCTCTTGTGAAGCTGTATTAGTTATCTACTGCTGCATAACAAGTCACCTACAACTTAGCAGCTCAAATCAACAAATATTTATCATCTCCCACAGTTATCCATGGTCAGGAATCCAGGAGAAGTTTCTCTGAATGCTTCTGGCTCAGGGCCTCTCACAACGTTGCAGTCTAGTTGTCTTCCAGGGCTGAATCATCTGAGGGCTCAAATGGGGCTGGGGATTCACAAGACACAAGAATCTCTCACATGGCTTTTGGAAGAGGCTTTAGCTTCTTATTGTCTGGTCCCAGGAGGACTCACTTCCTAGTCACATGGACCACAGGCCTCCTTATGACACAACAGCCAGCTTCCCCCAGGGCTCATGATTCCAGAGAAAGAAAGAACCAAAGTAGAAACTTCAGTGAGTCTTATGTTCTACACCCAGAATCACAAACTATTATGTCAGCATTACTCTATCAGTTAGAAGTGAGTCATTAAGTCCAGGCCACACGAACAGGGAGGGAATGAAGCTGCACTTCTGGAAAGGAGGAGTATCAAAGAATTTATAAACATGTTAAAAGCAAAATTAACATTATTGTTTCAGGGTTTTGTAAATCAAATACTTCTTGTATCTGACTTTTTTTAATACTTTAAAATTCTCTTCTGTAAAGTTGATTAAATATTTGAGACAGAGAAAGAAGATACAACAATATCTCAGATTTTTTTTGTAAATGCCTTTAATATTAATATTCTCTTTGATAAGTTGCAACAGAGTTGAGAAAATACAGTAGCTAAATTAAAGTGTCCCAAGACTTTGGTGCCATACAATAATGCCTTTACAATCATAACTACGTTTGTTTCTCTTCAGAAGTTTCTAATTCGGTTTAAGAATGCCCAAAATGCCAATTTTCTTACTCAAGCATCTACAAAAATATTTGCCTAATCAGGGTGCTTTGCAGTTAGAAAAATGTGAATCTCACACCTCTGTCTATACACTAGCTTAGCATCATGACAATAATTTGTTTGGCTAGGGTAGGCAGAAATTGTTTACTCCAATCTAGGAACAAGATTTTTCAATAACTGGCTATTCAGTGGGCATCCTATGAAAGTTTAACATCTTTCACTGTGTTTTTTAATTAGATGTGGTAGAAGTGATTTGGACTCCCGTATGATTCTGAAAAACACTGTTCTTTTGTGCTGCTATCATTGCTGTACAAGCATCTCTTTCATGTTTTCCATTCTTATTGCTATTTCATCACTAGTTATTCCTTTATGTCTTTTCATTTAATTTATTTTGCTCAACAATGCTTTTTTTTTTTACTGTGTAAAAGTTTAATCCACTTGTATGTGTGGTAAAATGTGAGCAACATATCAAATTCTCAAATTCTTTGCAAGATACAATTGCCTTGCACATCAGATTGAACACTGTATGCCAGACAATGTAGAGAGTTGCCAATTAGCCCAGGGTCAAATGACCTCTTTCTAGCCAAGGCTATTTTTCATGAGATCCTGGTCCTCTCTGTCACATGACTCTTTACAATTGGCTGTGGCTTTGTTTTAACGTGTGTAGTTATTGCTAAGGATCCTTGAGATGAACTTTGGTATTTTCTTTTCTCTTTCATTTCCAAATAATCAGTCAGGAATGGCACACAAGGTGCATTTTGAAAAATGACACTTTAAAGATTTGTGGGCCGGGAATGGTGGCTCATGTCTGTAATCCCAGCACTTTGGAAGGCCGAAGTTGGCGGATCACCTGAGGTCAGGAGTTTGAGACCAACCTGGACAATATGGTGAAACCCCGTCTCTACTAAAAATACAAAAATTACCTGGGTGTCGTGGTGGATGCCTATAATTCCAGCTACTCAGGAGGCTGAGGTAGGAGAATTGCTTGAACCTGGGAGGCGGAGGTTGCAGTGAACTGAGATCACGCCACTGCACTCCAGCCTGGGCGACAGAGCGAGACTCCGTCTCAAAAAAAAAAAAAAAAAAAAGAAAGAAAGAAAGAAAGAAAGAAAGAAAGAAAGAAAGAAAGAAAGAAAGATTTATGATCAAGTAACTTAACTACCTGGACATCCCCTCCTGGCATAAAAAACAAAACCTATGAAGCCACCCTCGGCTGTTGTCCAATTCTATTCCCCAAAAGGAACTTCTATCTTGAGTCTTGTATTTACTATTCCTTTTCATTGTCTCTAAAGATTTTTACAATAAGTATATATATATATATCCAAATCACAGTTTGACCTGCTTTTTTTAACTTCCCCGTACAGAGAACTCACACAATGTGCATTCTTCTGTGATGCTGATGCATGTTATGTGTAGGAGAGTTATCTCTGATGTGGGAGGGTGCTGTTCATTCACTGTTGCTGCTGAAGTTTTACTTTTTATTATTATACGACTATTTTGTTAATTCCCATTGATGTATATGTGATTGTTTCCAGTTTTTGCCATAAACATTGGTGTACATGTCTCCTGGACACATAGCCAAGAATGTCCCCAGGGGGTATGATCAGGAGGCAGATGGTGGGATTATATGATGTATGGACATTAATCATACTAGATAAGGCTAATTTGATTTCTCAAGTGCTTGTACCAAGAATGGGAAAGAGCTTGTGTTGCTCATGTGTTCTGAAAACATTCAGTTGGAGGCAGAAATTAAATGTTAAAAGGTACTGTCTTGGCTATAGAATCACCCTAGGCATTTTTTCATATTCCATTAACAACTTCCTTTTCTTTACTTTTATATTATAAATTACGGCATTATACTTTTAGCATAAAGTTCAAATAATGCTTCCTTTTGGCCTAAACACTTGGAGTTTATGAAAAAAATGGAGGGAGGGAGAAAGCTCTGAGGGAGGAAAGGAGGAAAGAAGGAAGGAAGGACAGAGAAAGACAAAATTTAAAATGTTCAAAAATAGGAGGAAAGAGTTGGAAACAGCAAGTATAGCTAAGTTATTAAAATGCAAGGGATTAAAAGATATGTAGATAATATCCATGGAATAATGGAAACTTAAGAAAGCCTTAATAGTTATCAAGTACTGTGTCACAAACTACCTCAAAATTTAGTAGCTTAATAGAACAAATATCTGTTAACTCAAAGAGATACTACACACACAAGTAAAATAGATTCTGTGGGGGTGGCAGAAGTTGGATAAAGAGAAGGATTTTACAGGTTGGAATAAGAGTTATTGATATGCAGATGGAAATAATTTTTAGTCCAAGTCCTTCAAGGAGCAGATGCCAAGATGAGCTTAAAGTCTGCGACATCTTATAAGGGGACACACCCGTAAGGGAATATGGGAAGTGAGCCAGAAATCCCTGAGAAAAGGCGGCAGACCACGATGCAAGTGTGACCCCAAGTGCTGGACAGAAGGAGAGAAAGTTTGTTTGACGCATCCTAGAGCACAGGCAATCTAAGGAGAGTTGAGCAAGGCCGTGGAGGAGTCTTCCAGCTACAGTTAGCCATCAGAGGAGTCCCGTGTCTCCCAGGAATGGCTTGCCTTAATGCCTGCTGTGACCAGTCACTGGCTGGGAACAGCCCATGGGAAGCAGGGCTTTGCACCAATCCTGCTGAGGATGTCAGAGCACAGGAGCACAGCCTTGGGACATTACCTGTGAGTATCACTCAATCCTTCCTTCCTGAGGGTTCTGGGCTCTTGAATATGAAACCCTCTCAGGCTGGGTTGCTGGATGATTCTGCTCACACTTACAACAGGACAAGGGGAACCATAAGGTCTCCAAGTGGATCTCTTATTTCCACACACACATCTCCTGCCCTCCTTGTGTGATAGCAGCCCTGCCTCCTCCTCTTCTCACCTGCTTGTATCTGGACACATACTATTCAAACATCCCTGGGGGCAGCCATAATGTGTATTTCCATGGACTCTCATTTAAATGTCTCCTTGCCAGGGTGCCCCCTTTGGGAAACCAGGACCTCCTCCCCTACAGAGCCCAGATATTGGAGATGAGAAGTGCAAAATCACCCTGAAGGTGAATATAAGGGTTTAGATATGGAGCCACACCTGCTTCTACTTCTTGGTTTTTGGACCCACGTATTCTTCCTTCTGTAAACACAGCACTATAGAGACATCTTTGATTCAATACATGCACCACATCCTGAAAGATGGCACCCATTCCTCAGAGGGTTTCATCCAAGCTGGCACTAAGTTGTGTCTGTAGAGACCTGTCCATGACTCTGTGTGGCTGGCAGCCCCTGGGAGGTGCAGGTGGTGATAAGACCAGGGGGTGCCATGGTCATGGACCACGCTTCATCCCCTTTCCTCTGAGGTGTGTCCCGCGGGCAGATAATGTACTGAAATTCTGAGCCAGTGGCTCAGGAATGCCAATAGTGATACTGGCTGAGGGTCTAAGAGTAGAGAGGAAAACCACACCACATCTAATAGGTGCCTATCCCTGTGAGGATGAACCTCCGCCCCCCGGGCCGCCTCCCACTTGAGCTGGGTGATCTGAGCCGCCGTGTCTGCGGCTGTCAAGGAGCACAGGTCCTCGTTCAGGACGATGTAATCCTTGCCATCGTAAGCAAGCTGGTGATACCCGCGGAGTAGGCGCCCGTCCGACCCCACGTCGCAGACAGACATCCTCTAGATGGGTGTGAGACCCTGGCCCCGCCCCCGCGGCCAGCCCCGCCCACCGAGCCCCGCCCTCGCCAGGACCAACCTGCGGGGATTTTGGCTGAAAATGAAACCGGGTAACGGCTCCTGGGCCTCTCCCGGGTCAAGGGTCTCCAGGTCCCGCTGCCTCGGCGTGGATCTCGGACCCAGAGACTCGGGGAGACCCGGGCGGTCCGTGGGGGATGTGGAGGGGTAGTGACCTGCGCCCCCGGCCGGTGTCACTCACAGGCCTCACTCTGGTTGTAGTAGCCGCTCAGGGTCCGCAGGTTCACTCGGTAAAACTGTGCTTTGGCCTTGGCGGTCCCTGTCTCCTCTTCCCAATATTCCGGCCCCTCCTGCTCCATCCACGGCGCCCGCGGCTCCATCCTGGGACTCGTGGCGTCGCTGTCGAGCCGCACGCACTGCGTGTCGTCCACGTCGCCCACGGAGAGGAAGCGGGGATCCGCGCGGCCGGGCCGGGACATGGTGGTGTGGAAATACCTCAAGGAGTGGAAGCCTGGGAGCAAGGAGGGGGCTGAGACCCTCCCGACCCTCCTCCCGGCACCGCAACCGGGTTCCTGCGCCCCCGCCGGGCAGGCCCCTAGCTACTCCCCACAGACGCCGTTTCCCTCCCGACCCCGCACTCACCTGCCCAGGTCTGGGTCAGGACCAGGGCCCCCGAGAGCAGCAGAAGCAGGGTTCGGGGCGCCATGACACCATCCTCGGCGACTGGGAAGAATCGGAGTCCCGGTGGGTGCGTGGGAACTTTAGAACCGGGACCGCGGCTACATTGATTGGCTTCTCTAGAAACCCGACACTCAATGGGAGTGAGAACTGGGGCAGCCCGGTGAGTACCCAGGAAGAAGGACCCGACACAGGTTGGGAGAGGGAGAAGAGAAACCCTGCAAAGATGGGGAATGCCCAGCGCTGGGCCTCCCCAATCCATACACCGCCTTTGGGGCCTGAGATCCTGAGAGCCACGCCTGAGGCCCTGGGACTTCGCCCTGACCCCGCTACTTCTGTGCCAAGCGCTCTGTCTCAATGTTTCCCTGAGTCTTGGCCCAGGAGCTGTCTGAGAAACCAGGGAGAAACCCTCGGAATGGGCCCCGTCCCTCTCTCTTCACTTTGCATCACGGAATCCCCGTCCCAGAACTGGACTCCCTGCCTCCTACTCCTTACCTGTCCCCGTGGACTCTTCTAGAAGAAAAATCACCCCAGGGAGCTTGTTGCCAGAGAGTGAGCTTGCCCTGGGAATGGAGGTGTAGAGACAGGGTTTTTTGTTGTTGTTGTTTGTTTGTTTTTTAAATCTGGAAAAGTTGTGCCTGAGTGCATGAGATAGAATAGAGACCAGTTTGCTTTTTGTTTATTAACTACAGTGGGTAGCAGAATCTTGGTAACTCCTAATGATCAGGAATCTAATCGGCCAAAAATGTGACTTTGGTCCCTTGACATATAAATGTGTCTAAAAGCATTACAACAGGAATCACAAAGCTCCTAAGTTTCACTTTCCCAGACAATGTATCTGTGACTCCCGCTTGTAGTATTTTAAATTTACCTTCATTCCATAGCCCTGAGTTTCTGTGTGAGTCCAGGACATCTCCTAATACAAGGTAGCCACTGTGTTACTATATGTTGTAACCAGGAGCCAGTACGGACTTTATTCATCTCACAGTGGCAAGCACTCAATGCAGTCACAATGCCCCTCACCAGTGCTCATGCACTGCCTGTTTTTAGGAAGTATCCACTTCTAAGTGTTGTGTATATTTTATATGAACACTTAGTATTTTTTAAACCTGATTAACATAAAAAAATTAGTTTTTAGGCAGACCCACATAAGGTATTAAAGGCCAACTGCAAAGATCACCCTGCAAGGCTCTGTAGATTGATGTATTAAAATATATAAAACAATGTGTTTAAACCTGAGTTCTGCTGCTTTCGAATTCTTTCCCTCTGCTCCATTTCCTCACCTCCTGCATCTCCAGCCCTTCCCTCCATTCCTCTCATCCCTCAGGCCCTCCTCTCCCCTTAGTCCCCACCACCTTGTCACTCCTTATTTGTGACACTAGCACTGTCCCATTACCTGCTACGTGACTGTTCTCTGCACAGTGGTCCTGCTCCTGTGAGTCAGAGTGTGTCATTTCTCCACCTAAAACATTCCACTGGCTCCACCTTGGTCTTGTGAAGCTTCTGGAATGTCAGGCACGTAAGCATATGAGGGCACACCTGGTTCATTGTAGGGATTAAATTAATTTTTCTTGACTGAATGAATGAAATATGAGTCTATTAAATTGCATCACAGAAAATTATAAAATGTAAAATACTGAAAAAGTTAAGAAATATTTTATTTTATGTAATTAGTGTGCATATCAATTCATCAATTCATTCGTGCACTACCACGACTGGCAAAACAACACCCATTTATCTGCTTATACTTCCTTGGTCAGAAATCTGGGCAAGATGTGGATAGAATCCCTGTTCTGGGCTTCCAAAAGCTGTGTTTTCATTTTGAATCCTCCTTCAGGCTTATACAGAGGTGGCAGAATGCAGTTTCTGGCAGTTGTAAGACTGAGGTTTCTGTTCCTTGCTGGCTGTCAATACAGAGAATAGGCAGGGCTGTGCTCAATTCCTGGTGCCTAACAGTGTTCTTTCCTACACAGCCTCTTCATTTTCAAAGCCCACGGTAGAGGAAACCCCTCATGCTGAATCCCTCTCACACTGCAAATCTCTATGCTCAGAAAGAACACAGACCTTTCAAGGACTCACCTTATTAGGACAGTCAAAGCAGGATAAACCCAGCCTAAAGTCAACTAATTGAGGCCCTTAGTTATATCTGCTAAATCCCTTCACAGCAGCATCTACACTAGAGTTGCTTGAATAACTGGGGGAAAGTGAATGACCGGGAGGTGGCTGTTGGGGGCCATCAAAGAATCAGCCCAGCAAGGGTTGGATCTTCCTTTTGTGTTTAATTTGGACACAGTTGGAAATTGAAGTTCAAGTAAAGTGATCATTGTGAATAGTAATAAAATGCATCCTCTTCAGCCATGGACATTCTCCTTACCTTTTAAAACTAAGTTACATGTGTAATGTCTTATAATTAATTTAGGCCAGGTGTGGTGGCTCACACCTGTGATTCTAGCACCGTGGAAGGCAGAGGAAGGCAGATTTGTTGACTCCAGATGTTGAAGATCAGCCTGGGCAACATGGAGAAACCCCCATCTCTACAAAAAAATTTAGAAAATTAGCCAGGCGTGGTGCTTCATGCCTGTAGTCCCAGTTACTCAGGACGCTGAGATAAGAGGGTCCCTTGAGCCCAGGAAGTCGACACTGCAGTGCATGGTGATCATGCCACTGCACTCCAGCCTGGGCGACAGAGCGAGACCCTGTCTCAATAACAATAATATTAATAATAATGATAAATTTAGAGCAAATGCAAATTAATGTGTAATACTACATCCTCTTTTGTGAAAATGTGTTAGTTATTTACTATTGCATAACAAATTATGTAAAACTTAGCAGCTCAAAATGGCAAATATTCATCATCTCCCGCAGGTTCCAATGGTCAGGAATCCAGGAGAGGTTTCCCTGAGTGCTTCTTGCTCAGGGCCTCTCACAAGGTTGCAGTCCAGTTGTCAGCCTAGGCCTGCATCATCTGAGTGCTTCACTGGGACTGAGGATTCACATGAAACATGGATGGGTCACATGGCTGTTGGAAAAGCCCTAGTTCCTTGTTTTCTGTTCCCAGAAGGCCCCAGTTCTCAGCCACATGGACCTTCCTTCAGGGCTGCTTATGGCACAGCAGGTGGCTTCCCCCAGAGCTCATGATTCCAGAGACATTGAGAGAGAAGGGGGAGGCTGCAGTGAGTTTTATGTTCTACACCCAGAGTCACAAACTCTTATGTCAGCATTACCAGTTAGAAGTTGTATTAGTCCGTTCTCACATTGCTATAAAGAAATACCTGAGACTGGGTAATTTATAAAGGAAAGAGGTTTAATTGACTCATAGTTCTGCATTGCTGAGAAGGCTGCCCCATGAAACTTACAATCATGGCAGAAGTGGAGGCAAACACGTCGTTCTTCACATGGTGGCAGGAGAGAGAATTGCAGATCGAAGTGGGGAAAAATACCTCATAAAACCATCAGATCTCATGAGAATTCCCTCAGCATCATAAGAGCAGCATGGGGGTACCATACCCGTGATCCAATCACCTCCCAGGAGGTCCCTCCCCCGATACATAGGGATTACAATTTGCATGACAATTCAAGATGAGAATTTGGTGGGAACTCAGAGCCAGACCATATCAGAAATGCATCATTAAGTCCCAGCCACACTCAAGAGAGGAAATTAAGCAGCATCTCTGGAAGGGAACAGTATTAAAGGATTTGAATATATATTAAAAGCAAATTTAAAACTCTTGTTTCAGGATTTTGAAAATCAAAATTTTTTTATCTAATTATTTTTCGTTAACCCTTTTAGCTTGTCTTTTAATTTAATTTAATTTTAAGTTCCAGGTTATGTGTGCAGGATGCGCAGGTTTGTTACATAGGTAAATGTGTGCCATGGTGGTTTGCTGCACCTATCAAACCATCACCTATGTATTAACCCTGGCATGCATTAGCTATTTTTTCCTAATACTCCTCCCACCACTGCCCTCCCCCAGCAGGCACCAGTGTGTGATGTTCCTCTCCTTGTGTCCATGTGTTCTCATTGCTCATCTCCCAATTATAAGTGAGAACATGTGGCGTTTGGCTTTCTGTTCCTGTGTTAGTTTGCTGAGGATGGCTTCCAGCTTCATCCATATCCCTGCAAAAGACTGAATCTCATTCCTTTTTGTGGCTGCATAATATTCCATGGTGTATATGTACCATATTTTCTTAATGCAGTACATCATTGATGGGCATTTGGGCTGATTCCATGTCTTTGCTATTGTGGATAGTGCTGCAATAAGCATACACATGCATGTATCTTTATAGTAGAGTGATTTATTTTCCTTTGGATGTATACCCTGTAATGGGATTGCTGGGTCAAATGGTATTTCTGGTTCTAAATCTTTGAGGAATCACCAAACTGTCTTCCACAATGGTTCAACCAATTTACATTTCCAGCAACAGTGTAAAAGCCTTCCTATTTCTCCACAACCTCGCCAGCATCTGGTGTTTATGTAGTTTTAAATAATTGCCATTCTGACTGGCATTAGATGGTATCTCATTTGTGGTTTTGATTTGCATTTCTGTAATCAGTGATGTTGAGCTTTTTTTCATGTTTTTTTGGCCACATGTACGTCTTATTTTGTGAAATGTCTCTTCATGTCCTTTGTTCACTTTTTAATGAAGTTTTTTTCATGTAAATTTGCTTAAGTTCTTTATAGATTCTGAATATTAGACCTTTGTAAGATAGATAGATTGCAAAAATTTTCTCCCATTCTGTAGGGTGTCTGTTCACTCTGATAGTTTCTTTTTCTGTGCAGATGCTCTTTTGTTTAATTAGATCCCATATGCCAATTTTTGCTTTTGTGGCAGATGCTTTTGGCGATTTCATCATAAAATCTTTGCCCATGCCTGTGTCCTGAATGGTATTGCCTAGATTTTCTTTCAGGGTTTTTATAATTTTGTGTTTTACATTTAAGTCTTTAATCTATCTTGAGTTAATTTTTGTGTAAGGTGTAAGGAAGGGGTCTAGTTTCAATTTTCTGCATATGGCTAGCCAGTTCTCCCATCACCATTTATTAAATAGGGAATCCTTTCCCCGTTGCTTGTTTTTGTCAGGTTTGTTGAAGATCAAATGGTTGTAGATGTGCGGACTTTTTTTGTGAATTCTCTATTCTGTTCCATTGGTCTATGTGCCTGTTTTTGTACCAGTATCATGCTGTTTTGTTTACTGTAGCCTCACAGTATACTTTTAAGTGGGGTAGTGTGCTGCCTCCAGCTTTGTTCTTTTTGCTTAGTATTCTCTTTGCTATATGAGCTCTTATTGGATCCATATGAATTTTAAAATAGTTTTTTTTTCTAATTCCACGATAAGCTTATCTTTTAAAATTAATGATTAACTGTTTCAGACATCACAGAGCCTTGGGTGCTTAGGAGAAAACAGTTTGAAACAGAGAAAGGATATGCAACAGTAACTCTGAATTTTTCTTGTGAATACCTTTAATAACAATGTTGTTTTCAATTAGTTAACACAGTTGAGAACATAGAGTAACTAGATCAAATAGTTCCAAGACTTCAGTCTGATAAAAATAATGTCTTGAAAATAAGACTTTGTTTTGTCTAAGATATCTCAAATTTAGTGGAAGCACGTCCCAAGCACCAATTTTCTTATTGAAATATCATCTTCACTAAACATTTGCCTACACTTAAAAAAAAAAACAAAAACTCCGCTATATGGAGTAGCCATTCTTTTGTTTCTTTACTTCTCTAATAACTTGCTTTCACTTAGGAAAACATTGCCTAATCAAATTGCTTTTCATTTACAAAAGTGTGAATCTCATACTTCAGTCAACACATCTAGCTTAGCATGATGCCAATAACTTTGGTTTGATGCAGTAGCCTGAAATGGTTAGCTCAAATTGAGAAACAAGTTTTTTTCAAAAGCTAGCTATTTGGTGGGCATTACATAATAAACTTAACATCTTTTGCTCTGGTATTGAATGAGATGTGATAGAAGTCATTTGCACACCACTATGATTCTAAATAACACGGCTATTATGTGCTTCTGAAGCTTTTTTTCTTTTTAGCAGTCCTATTCTGTTTTCCATTCATATTTGATATTCCATCACTGGTTATTCCTTCCTATTCTTTTCTTGTTTGATTTATTTTGATCAATTATTTGCATTTCCAATTCCGTAAAAGTTTAATTCAGTTGTATGTGTGGTAGAATGTAACATCAAATCCTTTGCAAGATGGAATTACCTTGCACAGCAGATTGAACATTGTATAACTGAAAATCTAGAGAGATGCCAGTCAGCCAAGGGTTAAATGACCTATTTTTAGCCAAGTCCATTTTCATGGCATCCTGGTCCTCTCTGTCACATGACTCCTTACAATTCTCTGTGGTTTGCTTCCAATGTAAGTAGTTCTTATTAAGGATCCTTGCAATTAACTTTGGTATTCTTTTCTCTTACATTTTTTTAAAATTATACTTTAAGTTCTATGGTACATGTGCATAACGTGCAGGTTTGTCACATATGTATGCATGTGCCCTGTTGGTTTGCTGCCCTCTTTAACTAGTCATTTACATTAGGTATTTCTCCTAATGCTATCCTTCCCCCATCCCGCCACCTGACGACAGGCCCCAGTGTGTGATGTTCCCCACCCTGTGTCCAAGTGTTCTCATTGTTCAATTCACCTATGAGTGAGAACATGCGCTGTTTGATTTTCTGTCTTCGCGATAGTTTGCTCAGAATGATGGTTTCCTGCTTCATCCATGTCACTACAAAGGACATGAACTCATCCTTTTTATGGCTGCATAGTATTCCATGGTGTATATGTGCCACATTTTCTTAATCTAGTCTATCATTGATGGACATTTGGGTTGGTTCCAATTCTTTGCTATTGTGAATAGTGCCACAATAAACATACATGTGCATGTGTCTTTATAGTAGCGTGATTTATAATCCGTTGGGCATATACCCAGTAATGGGATGGCTGGGTCAAATGGTATTTCTAGTTCTAGATCCTTCAGGAATTGCCACACTGTCTTCCACAATGGTTGAACTAGTTTACAGTCCCACCAACAGTGTAAAAGTGTTCCTGTTTCTCCACATCCTCTCCAGCACCTGTTGTTTCCTGACTTTTTAATGATCGCCATTCTAACTGGTGTGAGATGGTATCTCATTGTGGTTTTGATTTGCATTTCTCTGATGGCCAGTGATGATGAGCATTTTTTCATGTGTCTGTTGGCTGCATAAATGTCTTCTTTTGAGAAGTGCCTGTTCATATCCTTTGCCCACTTTTTATGGGGTTGTTTGATGGGTAGACTGCAAAAATTTTCTCCCATTCTGTAGGTTGCCTGTTCACTCTGATGGTAGTTTCTTTTGCTGTGCAGAAGCTTTTTAGTTTAATTAGATCCCATTTGTCTAATTTGGCTTTTGTTGCCATTGCTTTTGGTGTTTTAGTCACGAAATCCTTGCCCATGCTGATTTCCTAAGTGGTATTGCCTAGGTTTTCTTTTGGGTTTTATGGTTTTAGGTCTAACATTGAAGTCTTTAATCCATCTGGAATTAATTTCTGTATAAGTTGTAAGGAAGGGATCCAGTTTCAGCTTTCTACATGTGGCTAGCCAGTTTTCCCAGCACCATTTATTAAGTTTCCCAGCACCTTTCCCTATTGCTTGTTTCTGTCAGGTTTGTCAAAGATCAGATGATTGTAGATGTGTGGTGTTACTTCTGAGGCCTCTGTTCTGTTCCATTGGTCTGTATCTCTGTTTTGGTACCAGTACCATACTGTTTTGGTTACTGCAGCCTTGTAGTATAGTTTGAAGTCAGGTAGCGTCATGCCTCCAGCTTTGTTCTTTTGGCTTAGGATTCTCTTGGCAATGTGGTCTCTTTTTTGGTTCCATATGAACTTTAAAGTAGTTTTTTCCAATTCTGTGAAGAAAGTCATTGGTAGCTTGATGGGGATGGCATTGAATCTATAAATTACCTTGGGCAGTGTGGCCATTTTCATGATATGGATTCTTCCTATCCATGAACGTGGAATGTTCTTCCATTTGTTTATATCCTCTTTTATTTCATTGAGCAGGTTTGTAGTTCTCCTTGAAGAGGTCCTTCACATCCCTTGTAAGTTGGATTCCTAGGTATTTTATTCTCTTTGTAGCAATTTTGAATGGGAGTTCACTCATGATTTGGCTGTCTGTCTGTTATTGGTGTGTAAGAATGCTTGTGATTTTTGCACATTGATTTTGTATCCTGAGACTTTGCTGAAGTTGCTTATCAGCTTAAGGAGATTTTGGGCTGAGATGATGGGGTTTTCTAGACATACAGTCGTGTCATCTGCAAACAGGGACAATTTTACTTCCTCTTTTCCTAATTGAATACCCTTTATTTCCTTCTCCTGCCTAATTGCCCTGGCCAGAACTTCCAACACTATGTTGAATAGGAGTGATGAGAGAGGGCATCCCTGTCTTGTGCCAGTTTTCAAAGGGAATGCTTCCAGTTTTTGCCCATTCAGTATGATATTGGCTGTGGGTTTGTCATAGATAGCTCTTATTATTTTGAGATACGTCCCATCAATACTTAATTTATTGAGAGTTTTTAGCATGAAGGTTGTTGAATTTTGTCAAAGGCCTTTTTTGCATCTATTGAGATAATCATGTGGTTTTTGTCGTTGGTTCTCTTTAAATGCTGGATTATGTTTATTGATTTTCGTATGTTGAACCAGCCTTGCATCCCAGGGATGAAGCCCACTTGATCATGGTGGATAAGCTTTTTGATGTGCTGCTGGATTCGGTTTGCCAGTATTTTATTGAGGATTTTTGCATCTATGTTCATCAGGGATATTGGTCGAAAATTCTCTTTTTTTGTTGTGTCTCTGCCCGGCTTTGCTATCAGGATGATGCTGGCCTCATAAAATGAGTTAGGGAGGATTCTCTCTTTTTCTATTGATTGGAATAGTTTCAGAAGGAATGGTACCAGCTCCTCCTTGTACCTCTGGTAGAATTCGGCTGTGAATCCATCTGGTCCTGGACTATTTTTGGTTGGTAAGCTATTAATTATTGCCTCAATTTCAGAGCCTGTTATTGGTATATTCAGAGATTCAACTTCTTCCTGGTTTAGTCTTGGGAGGGTGTATGCGTCGAGGAATTTATCCATTTCTTCTAGATTTTCTAGTTTATTTGCATAGAGGTGTTTATAGTATTCTCTGATGGTAGTTTGTATTTCTGTGGGATTGGTGGTGATATCCCCTTTATCATTTTTATTGCATCTATTTGATTCTTCTCTCTTTATTAGTCTTGCTAGCGGTCTATCAATTTTGTTGGTCTTTTCAAAAAATCAGCTCCTGGATTCATTGATTTTTTGAAGGGTTTTTTGTGTCTCTATCTCCTTCAGTTCTGCCCTGATCTTGGTTATTTCTTGCCTTCTGCTAGCTTTTGAATGTGATTGCTCTTGCTTCTCTAGTTCTTTTAATTGTGATGTTAGGGTGTCGATTTTAGATCTTTCCTACTTTCTGTTGTGGGCATTTAGTGCTATAAATTTCCCTTTACACACTGCTTTGAATGCATCCCAGAGATTCTGGTATGTTGTGTCTTTGTTCTCGTTGGTTTCAAAGAACCTCTTTATTTCTGCCTTCCTTTCATTATGTACCCAGTAGTCATTCAGGAGCAGGTTGTTCAGTTTCCATGTGGTTGAGCAGTTTTGAGTGAGTTTCTTAATCCTGAGTTCTAGTTTGATTGCACTGTGGTCTGAGAGACAGTTTGTTATAATTTCTGTTCTTTTACATTTGCTGAGGAGTGCTTTACTTCCAACTATGTGGTCAGTTTTGGAATAAGTGCGGTGTGGTGCTGAGAAGAATGTATATTCTGTTGATTTGGGGTGGAGAGTTCTGTAGATGTCTATTAGGTCTGCTTGGTGCAGAGCTGAGTTCAATTCCTGGATATCTTTGTTAACTTTCTGTCTCATTGATCTGTCCGATGTTGACAGTGGGGTGTTAAAGTTTCCCATTACTATTGTGTGGGAGTCTAAGTCTCTTTATATGTCTCTACGGACTTGCTTTATGAATCTGGGTGCTCCTGTATTGGGTGCATATATATTTAGGATAGTTAGCTCTTCTCATTGAATTGATCCCTTTACCATTATGTATTGGCCTTCTTTGTCTCTTTTGATCTTTGTTGGTTTAAAGTCTGTTTTATCAGAGAGTAGGATTGCAACCCCTGCCTTTTTTTGTTTTCCATTTGCTTGGTAGATCTTCCTCCATCCCTTTATTTTGAGCCTATGTGTGTCTCTGCACGTGAGATGGGTTTCCTGAATACAGCACACTGATGGGTCTTGACTCTTTATCCAATTTGCCAGTCTGTGTCTTTTAATTGGAGCATTTAGCCCATTTACATTTAAGGTTAATATTGTTATGTGTGAATTTGATCCTGTCATTATGATGTTAGCTGGTTATTTTGCTCATTAGTTGATGCAGTTTCTTCCTAGCCTCAATGGTCTTTACTATTTGGCATGTTTTTGCAGTGGCTGGTACCAGTTGTTCCTTTCCATGTTTAGTGCTTCCTTCAGGATCTCTTGTAAGGAAGGCCTGGTGGTGACAAAATCTCTCAGGATTTGCTTGTCTGTCAAGGATTTTATTTCTCCTTCACTTACAAAGCTTAGTTTGGCTGGATTTGAAATTCTGGGCTGAAAATTCTTTTCTTTAAGAAAGTTGAATATTGGCCCCTACTCTCTTCTGCCTTGTAGAGTTTCTGCCGAGAGATCAGCTGTTAGTCTGATGGGTTTCCCTTTGTGGGTAGCCCGACCTTTCTCTCTGTCTTTCCTTAACATTTTTTCCTTAATTTCAACTTTGGTGAATCTGACAATTATGTGTCTTGGAGTTGCTCTTCTTGAGGAGTATCTTTGTTGTGTTCTCTCTATTTCCTGAATTTGAATGTTGGCCTGCCTTGCTAGATTGGGGAAGTTCTCTTGGATAATATCCTGCAGAGTGTTTTCCAACTTGGTTCCATTCTCTCCGTCACTTTCAGGTACACCAATCAGATGCAGATTTGGTCTTTTCACATAGTCCCATATTTCTTGGAGGCTTTGTTCATTTCTTTTTATTCTTTTTTCTCTAAACTTCTCTTCTCACTTCATTTCATTCATTTGATCTTCCATCACTGATAACCTTTCTTCCAGTTGATCGAATCAGCTACTGAAGCTTGTGCATTCATCACTTAGTTCTCGTGCCGTAGTTTTCAGCTCCATCAGGTCCTTTAAGGACTTCTCTGCATTGGTTATTCTAGTTAGCCATTCATCTCATCTTTTTTCAAGGTTTTTAACTTCTTTGTCATGGGTTCGAACTTCCTCCTTTAGCTCGGAGAAGTTTGATCGTCTGAAGCCTTCTTCTCTCAACTCATCAGAGTCATTCTCCTTCCAGCTTTGTTCCATTGCTAGTGAGTAGCTGCATTCCTTTGGAGGAGGAGAGGCACTCTGATTTTTAGAATTTTCAGTTTTTCTGCTCTGTTTTTTCCCCGTCTTTGTGGATTTATCTACCTTTGGTCTTTGATGATGGTGACGTACAGATGGGGTTTTGGTGTGGATGTCCTTTCTGTTTGTTAGTTTTCCTTCTGACAGTCAGGACCCTCAGCTGCAGGTCTGTTGGAGTTTGCTGGAGGTCCACTACAGACCCTGTTTGCCTGGGTATCAGCAGTGGAGGCTGCAGAACAATGCATATTGGTGAACAGCAAATGTTGCTGCCTGATCTTTCCTCTGGAGATTTTGTCTCAGAGGAGTACTCGGCCGTGTGACGTGTCAGTCTGCCCCTACTGGGGGGTGCCTCCCAGTCAGGCTACTTGGGAGTCAGGGACCCACTTGAGGAGGCAGTCTGTCTGTTCTCAGATCTCAAGCTGCATGCGGGAGAACCACTACTGTCTTCAAAGCTGTCAGACAGGGACATTTAAGTCTGCAGAGGTTTCTGCTGCCTTTTGTTTGGCTATGCCCTGCCCCCAGAGGTGGAGTCTACAGAGGCAGGCAGGCCTCCTTGAGCTGTGTGGGCTCCACCCAGCTCGAGCTTCCTGGCCGCTTTGTTTACCTACTCAAGCCTCAGCAATGGCGGGCACCCCTCCCCCAGCCTTGCTGCCGCCTTGCAGTTTGATCTCAGACTGCTGTGCTGGCAATGAGCGAGGCTCTGTGGGTGTAGGACCCTGCGAGCCAGGCATGGGATATAATCTCTCGGTGTGCCGTTTGCTAAGACCATAGGAAAAGTGCAGTATTAGGGTGGGAGTGACCTAATTTTCCAGGTGCCATCTGTCACCCCTTTCCTTGGCTAGGAAAGGGAATTCCCTGACCCCTTGCGCTTCCTGGGTGAGGCGTGGCCTCGCCCTGCTTTGGCTCACACTTGGTGCACTGCACCCACTGTCCTGCACCCACTGTCTGACAGTCCCCAGTGAGATGAACCTGGTACCTCAGTTGGAAATGCAGAAATCATTCGTCTTCTGCATTGCTCACCCTGGGAGCTGTAGACTGGAGCTGTTCCTATTCCCCAAATTAATTTTTGTTGACTGAATAAATGAAATATGAGTGTATTAAAATTTAATTTCATCACAGAAAATTATAAAATAAACAATACTGGAAAAGATTGAGAAAGTTTTTATTTTATGTAACTAGTGTGCATATCAATTCATAAATTCATTCCATTTGTCTGTTGAGACTGTACGAATTTTATGACTGCATAACAAATTATCACAAATATTGGCTTTAAACAATACCCATTTATTTAATTAATTCATTTATTTTTAGAGAAATGGTCTCTTTCTCTCATCCATTTTGAAGTGCAGTCACACAGTCATGGCTCACTGCAGCCTTGAAATCCTGGGCTCAAAGGATCCTCCTGGCTCAGTCTTCAGAGTAACTAGAACTACAGGCAAATGCCACCACGCCCAGCTAATTAAAAAAAAATTGTAGAGATGAGGGTCTCATTGCATTACCCAGGCTGGTCTCAAATTCCTGAGTGTAAGTGATCCTCCTGTGTAAGCCCCTCAAATGTTAGGATTGCAGGTGTGTGCTACCACACCTGCCCAAACAACATCCACTGATCTGTTTACAGTTCTTTAGGCAGAAATCCAGGCATGATGTAGACGGGGTCTCTATTCAGGGCTTCCCAAAGCTGTGTTTTCATTTTGAATCCTCCTTCAAGCATATATAGAGGCGGCAGAATTCAGTTTCTGACAGTCGTTAAGACTGAGTTTCCTGTTCCCTGCTAGCTGTCAAGGTAGAGAGGAGGGAGGGCTGTGCTCAATGCCTGGAGCCAAACAGCATTCTTTTCTAGTCAGCCCCTTCAATTTCAAAGCCCACAGTGGAGGAAACCCCTCACACTGAATCCCTCTCACACTGTGAATCTCTATGCTCAGGAAGAACCCAGTCCTTTCATGGGCTCACCTGATTAGGAGTGTCCAAGCAGGCTAAACCCAGCCTCAAGTCAACTGATTGAGGACCTTGATTATATCTGCTAAATCCCTTCACAGCAGCACCTACAGTAGAGTTGGTTGAATAATTGGGGGAAGGTGGATGACCAGGAGCTGGTTGTTGGGGCTATTATAGAATCAGCCTAGCAAGGGTTGGATTTTCCTTTTGTGTTTAATTGTGACACAGTTGGAAATTGAAGTTCAAGTAAAGCGATCATTGTGAATGATAATAAAATACATCCTCTTCAGCCATGGAGATTCACCTTACCTCTTAAAATCAAGTGACAGGTTTAATAGCTTATAATTAATTCATGCCAGGTGTGGTGGCTGGCACCTACAATCCTAGCACTGTGGCGGGCAGAGGAAGGCAGATCCATTGACTCCAAGAGTTTGAGATCAGCCTGGGCAACATGGTGAAACCTCCATCTCTACAAAAACATTAGAGTATTATCCAGGCATGGTGGTTCATGCCTGTAGTCCCAGCCAGCTACTCAGGAGGCTGAGGTCAGAGGATATTTGAGCACAGGAAGTCAACACAGCAGTGAATGGTGAACATGCCACTGCACTCTAGCCTCTGTGACAGAGCAAGATGCTGTCTCAAAAATAGTAATAATCATGATCATAAATTTAGAGCAAATGAAAATTGAAGTGCAATAAATCATCCTCTCTTATGAAAATGTATTAGTTATTTACTATTGCATAACAAATTACATAAAACTTAGCAGCGCAAAACAACAAACATCATCTACCGCAGTTTCCAATGGTCAGGAATCCAGGAGCAAGGTTTCCCTGAGTGCTTCTGGCTCAGAGCCTCTCACAAGGTTACAGTCCAGTCCAGGGCTGCATCATCTGAGAGCTTCACTAGGGCTTGGGATTTACAAGAAACATGGCTCACTCACATGGTTCCTTGTTGTCCGGTCCCAGGAGGCCTCAGTTTTTAGCCACATGGACCTTCCTGCAGGGCTGCTTATGGCACAGCAGTTGGCTTCCCCCAGAGCTCATGATCCCAGAGACAGAGAGAGAGAAGCTGCAGTGAGTTTTATGTTCTACACCCAGAGTCAAAAACTGTTATATCAGCACTACTCTATCAGTTAGAAGTTGTATTTGTCTGTTCTCACACTGCTATAAAGAAATACCTGAGACTGGGTAATTTATAAAGGAAAGAGGTTTAATTGACTCACAGTTCTGCATGACTGAAGAGGCGGCCTCAGGAAATTTACAATCATGGCAGAAGGGGAAGGAAGCATGTCATTCTTCACATGGTGGTGGGAGAGAGAAATGCAAGGTTGTCAGGGGCGGGGGTGGCAGGGAAGACTCTTGCAAAACCATCAGATCTCATAGAACTCACTCACTATCATGAGAACAGCATGAGGGAACCATCCCCATGATCTAATCACTTCCCACCATGTCTTTCCCCTAGCACGTGGGGATTACAATTCAAGATGAGTTTGGGTGGGGACACAGGGCGAGGCCATATCAGAAGTGCATCATTAAGTCCAAGCCGAACTCACAGGGAAGGAATTAAGCTGCACCATTGGAAGGGAGGAGTATCAAGGGATTTGCATAAATGTTGAAAGCAAAATTAAAATTATTATTTCAGGATTTTGTAAATCAAATGCTTCTTTCATGTGATTATTTTTCTTTAATGCTTTAAGCTTCTTTTTAATTTTTATTTTAAGTTTCAGGGTACATATGCAGGATGTGCAGATTTGTTACATAGGTAAACGTGTGCCATGGTGTTTTGCTACACTTATCAACCCAGCACCTAGGTATTAAGCCTAGCATGAATGAGCTATTTTTCCTAATGCGCACCCCACCTCTGCCCTCCCCCAAAAGGACACAGTGTTCCCCTCCCAGTGCCCATGGATTCTCATTGCTCAGCTCCCAATTATCAGTGAGAACATGCAGTGTTTGTTTTTCTGTTTCTGCATTAGTTTGTTGAGGATAATGGCTTCCAGCTTTTTCCATGTCCCTGCAAAACATGATCTCCTTCCTTTTTAAGGCTGCATAGTATTCCTTGGTGTACATGTCATATGTTTTCTTTATCCAGTCTATTGTTGATGCGCATTTAGGTTGATTCCATGTCTTTGCTATTGTGAGTGGTGCTGCAATGAACATACACATGGATGTAACTTTATAATAGAATGATTTATATTTCTTTGGGTATATACCCAGTAATGGGATTGCTGGGTCAAATGGTATTTCTAGTTCTAGATCTTTGAGGAATCGTCATATTGTCTTCCACAATGGTTGAACTAATTTACATTCCCACCAACAGTTAAAGCATTCCTATTTCCCTGCAACCTTGCCAGTATCTGTTGTTTCTTGACTTTTTAATAATCACCATTCTGACTGGCATGAGATGGTATCTCATTGTGGTTTTGATTTGCATTTCTCTAATGACCAGTGATGATGAGCTTTTTTTCATATGTTTGTTGGCCACATGTATGTCTTCTTTTGAGAAGTGTCTGTTCATGTCATTTGCCCACTTTTTAATGGGGTTGTTTGTTATTTTCTTGTAAATTTGCTTAATTTCCTTGTAGATTGTGGATATTAGATCTTTGTCAGATGGATAGATTACAAAAATTTTCTTTCATTCTGTAGGTTGTCTGTTCACTCTGATCACAGTGTCTTTTCCTGTGCAGAAGCTCTTTAGTTTAATTAGATCCCATTTGTCAGTTTTTGCTTTTGTGGCAGATGCTTTTGGCGATTTCATCATAAAATCTTTGCCCATGCCCAGGCAAATGGTATTGCCTAGATTTTCTTCTTGGGTTTTTATAGTTTTGGGTTTTACATTTAGGTCTTTAATCCATCTAGAGTTAATTTTTGTGTAAGATGTAAGGAAGGGGTCCAGTTTCAGTTTTCTGCAAATGGCTAGCCCGTTTTCCCAACATCATTTATTAAATATGGAATCATTTCCCTGTTGCTTGTTTTCATCAGGTTTGTTGAAGATCAGATGGTTTTAGATATGCGGTTTTATTTCTGAGTTCTCTACTCTCTTCCATTAGTCTATTACCATGCTGTTTTGGTTACTGTAGCCTGTAGTATAGTTTGAAATCAGGTAGTCTGAGGCCGCCTGCTTTGTTCTTTTTGTGTAGGATTGTCCGGGCTATATGAGCTCTTTTTTGGTTCCATATGAATTTTAAAATAGTTTCTTCTAATTCTGTGATAAGCTTCTCTTTTTAAATTAATGATTAAAAGTTTGAGACATCACAGAGCCTTGGGTGTTGTGGGGAAAACTGTTTGAGACAGAGAAAGAGGATACAATAGTATGTCTGAGTTTTTCTTGCAAATACCTTTAATAACAATATTCTCTTCAATGAGTCAACAGTTGAGAACCCAGAGTAACTAGAGCAAATATTCCAAAGACTTCTGTGCCGTAAAAATAATGACTTGAAAATAAGTCTTTGTTTCAACTAAGGTGTCTCACATTTAGTTGAAGTATGCCCCAAGTGCCAATTTTCTTATTGAAATATCATCTTCAAAAAACATTTGCCTACACTTAAAAAAAAGGGCTGTTGTGTCTATTGAGTAGCCATTCTTTTGTTTCCTTACTTCTCTCATAAACTTGATTTCACTTTAAAAAATTTGCCTAATTGGTTTTAATTTACAAAAATGTGAATCTCATACCTCAGTTAACACATCTAGCTTAGCAAGATGTCAATAGCTTTGGTTGGATGCAGTAGCCCAAAATGGTTAGCTCCAACTGAGGCATAAGATTTTTCAAAAACTGGCTATTTGGTGAGCATTCTATAATAAACTTAACATCTTTTGTTCTGGTATTGAATCAGATACGATAGAAGTGATTTGGACACCACTATGATTCTAAATAGCACTGCAATTTTGTGCTTTCAAGTTTTTTTGAGCAATCCTGTTGTGTTTTCCATTCATATTTGCTATTCCATCACTGGTTGTTCCTTTATACTCTTTTATTGTTTCATCTATTTTGATCAATGATGTGCATTTCCAATTCTGTAAAAGTTTAATTCAGTTGTATGTGTGGAATATGTAACAAATCAAATCCTTTGCAAAATGGAATTACCTTGCACATCAGATTGAATCTTGTATACCTGAAAATCTAGAGAGATGCCTGTGAGCCAAGGATCATATGGCCCTTTAGCCAAGGGTATTGTCATGGCATCCTGTAAGGAGCCTCTCTGTCATGTGGCTCCTTACAATTCTCTGTGGCTTTCTTCCAATGTAAGTAGTTCTTGTTAAGGATCCTTGCAATGAACTTTGATATTTTTTTCTTTCATTTTTTAAGAAACAGGTATATTTTAGTTTGAAAAATACTGTTTAAGGAGTTATAATCTAGTAGTTACCTGGGTTCCCAGCACTGGCATAAGACACAGAACCCGCAAAGCCACCCTGGGCTGCTGCCCACTCACATCCCCCAGAATGAGACCCCATCCTGAGTCTTGTTTTTATTATTACTTTGTATTTCTTTAAATATTTGTACAATAAGTATATATAATCTCAAACCAAATATTAGTTTCACTGGTTTTTAAGCTTCCTGTACAGAAATTCCTACTACATTTCTTTTCTCATGATGCACATTATGTATAGGAGTTATCTGTTGTGTGGGAGGCTGTCATTCACTCATTTTTACTGCTGAAGGTTTACATTTTATGGTTATACCACAATTTCACTACTTTGCTATTGATGTATAGGAGGCTGATTCCAGTTTTTGCCATAAACATTAGTGTGCATGTCTCCTGGGCACATAGGCGAGAAAGCCGCCAGAGTGTATGATTAGGAGTGGGATGGTTGGATGATATGTTGTATGGCCTTTAACCATACTAAATAATGATAATATGATTTCCAAAGTAATTGTGCCAACTTAAGCTTTTACAATAAATGTGTAATATGTGATGTTGATGTGTTCTGAAAACACTGAGTTGAAGGAATTAAGAGTTAATAGCAACTGCCTTGGCTGCAGAATTATAGCAGATTTTTTTTTTTTTTGACGGAGTCTTGCTCTGTCGCCCAGGCTGGAGTGCAGTGGCACAATCTCGGTTCACTGCAAGCTCCACCTCCTGGGTTCACGCCATTCTCCCGCCTCAGCCTCTTGAGTAGCTGGGGCTACAGGTGCCCGCCACCACACCGGCTAATTTTTTTTTTGTATTTTTAGTAAAGACAGGGTTTCACCGTGTTAGCCAGGATGGTCTCTATCCCCTGACCTCGTGATCCGCCCGTCTAGGCCTCCCAAAGTGCTGGGATTACAGGCATGAGTCACCATGCCCAGCCTATAGCAGGCATTCTTATTCAGACTCTGTTAATAACTTCCTGTTGTTAACTTGTATCCTATATACCATGGCTTTATACTTTTAACATATAGATTCAGAAAATGTTTCCTTATAGTACAAACACATAGGGTTATTTTATATGTCAGAATATGTCATAATAAAAAAGAAAAAAATGGAGGAAAGGAGAGAAAGAAGGAGAGAGGAGTGAAGGAAGCAAAGAAGGAAGGGGAAGAGAAGGAGGGAGGGAGGGCAAATGGAAATAGAAAAGAAAGAGAGGGAGGGAGAGATAGAAGTGAGAAGAAAGGGAAGGAATAAAGGAGAAAAGAAACGAAAATAAAGAAAAAAACAGGCGTAGAGAAACTAGGAACCCAATATATGGCTAATATTATCAAAATGGGAGGAAATAAAACGGATGTATTTAACCTCTATAGAATAACAGAAATGTAAGAGGGCTTCATTAGTTATCCATTGCTGTATAACAAACTACCCCCAAATTTAGTGACTTAAAGCAACAAACATCGACTATCTCAAAAGCATAATACAAATACTAGCAAAATGGAGCCAATGCAGGTAGAAGTTGAACAAACAAAAGGATTTTACAAATTGGAGTAAGTAAGAGGTCACTGGTGTGCAGATGAAAATGATTTTGCATTCCAAGTGCCATCATGGGATTAAAGTTACAGGATTTTATTAGGGGACACACCTGTCAGAGATATAGCAACGGAGGCAGGTTACCCTGGGAAAGGCAACAGACCAAGATGCAAATGTGACCCCCAGTGATGGACAGAAGGACAGAAGGTTTACTGGATGTGTCCTAGACCACAGGCAATCTCAGGAGAGTTGAGCAAAGCCATGGAGGAGTCTTTGAGCCACTGCTGTCCGTCAGAGGAGTCCCTGGTCTCCCAGGAATGTCCTGCCTCAGTGTCACTGGTGTGACCCATCACTGGCTGGGAACAGCCCATGGGAAGCAGGGTCTCTGCACCAATGACACTGAGGATGTCAGAGCACAGGAGTGGGGCCTTGGGTGATTACCCAGGAGTGTGGCTCAAACCTCCTGTCCTGAGAGGTCTGGGCCCTTGGAAATCAAATCCTCTCAGGCTGGATTGCTGGATGATTCTGCTCACATTTACAAAGGGACAAGGCAAACCAGAAGGCCCCCAAGTAGATCTCTGGTTCTCACACACACACTTCTGCCCTCATTGTGTGAAAGTAGCCATGCCTCCTCCTGGAGAGCAGGATCTATTACCTGCACCTGGAGAGGAAGAGACTCCTTTTCTCACCAGCTGGTCTCTGGGCACATACTGTCCAAACTTCTCTGGTGACAACCATAATGTGTAGTTCAATGGGCTGTCATGTGTCTCCTTTTAAGGACCTCCTGCCCTGAACAGCCCAAAGTTGGGAGATAAAACGTGCAAAATACCCCAGTGGGTGAATCTAAGAGACTGGACATGGAGACAAACCTGCTTCCAACTTTCGGTTTCTAGACCCACATATTCTTCCTATTGAGAACACAGCACCGTAGAGATGTCTCTGATTCAAACAATGCACCATGTCCTGAAAAACGGCCCCCACCCCTCAGAGTGCTTCCTCCAGGATGACACTGAGTTTTGCCTGTAGAAGACATTTCCAGCATTCCTTGTGGCTGGCAGCCCCTGGGTGGTGCAGATGGTGATCAGATCAGTGAAACCCATAGCCACGGAAACACTGGAACTTTCCCTGCCAAGTGGGTCCTTCAGGCAGATACTGGGTTGGGAGCACCACCTAGCCTGTGGATCAGGAATGTCAACAGCACCCAGAGAGTGGTGCTGGCTGAGTGTCCGAGAGCAGGACAGGAAAACTCACCCATGGAATATGAGCCTACCCCTGTGAAGATGAACCTCAGGCCCTTCTAGGATGGAAGTAGCTAAATGTAGTCAACTTGTTACATAGTGGCTAGTTAGTCACCTAAAGAAATAGTGCCCCACTAGGGCACATGGTGGGCCTCAAATGCTGATGAGTTGGACATTCAGAGGTGGCAGCAGCTGGATCTGTCTTGATAATGGGGAGTCAGTACTTCTGGCCCCATATGTAGCCTCATGCCTGCCACTGTGCTTGCTCCATTCATGTGCCCATCCTACCAGGCCTGCATTGACCCATAGTGAAGGCTGGCTAACTTCCATTTGTCTGTTTGGTTGTTCAGTGCTGCTTCAGACTTGGGTGTTTTCTGGGGGTGTCAACATGGGATTCAAGCACAACCCAGGTGGACCATTTTCACCTCATGATGAATGCTGTTGGGCCTGTCCAATCTATGACTTTCTGGGTCACACAGAAGCCAATTCACACAGGTACTTGGAATCACATCGTTGCTTGGTGTCCTGTGGTTAAGCATTCTATCGAATCAGGACCAGGAACACTAAAAGTTGCTTCTAATGGGGAGCCATGTCTCTGCTGTGGATGACATGATCTTACTCCAGATCCCAGGCCCTCCACCATGACTCTCCCACTGCTGCTTGGTTCAGCTCCATCCTGCATCTTTCCCCACCCCTGCCCCTTCCAGTACCAAGAGGTCTGAGGGATGGTGGCTGCACCGCAGCCTGTATCTGCTGCAGGGTGCTTTCCTGTGTAGGCCTCACTTGAAGCTGGCCTCCTCCTATGTCACCTAGAGTGTGGGCCAAAGCAACATTTCTACATGTGGAATGTGCTGTCGTCAGAACTCCAAGAGTGCTTTCTTTTTTTGCAGTAAGGATGCAAAATGCAACACTTTGTAATTTACCTAGGAGGGGACACCCCTGGCATTCCCCTAAACACTGGACTCATAAAACTTCACTACAGTGACCTTTCCTGAAGCTCTGTAAGGTTTATCTTCACCTTCTGAAGTGCAAATGTTTTGCCAACGATGCCAGTGCACTTTCTACCTGCTGCTCATTCGCCCCAGTCAACATGAAGTTGTAAATGAAATGAGCTGATTTAATATCCTTTAGGATATCCAGTATGTCTAGTATAGTCATAAGACTATACTATAGAGGACAGGGGAGTTACAAAAGTCCTGAGGCAAACTATAATTCAATGTGTTGTGGATCCCACATGAATGTGAATCACTCCATATCCCCTTTGTAATTGGAATGGAAAGAAATGCACTCACCAAATCCACAGCTGCACACTGTGTGCCCAAGGCTTTGTTAATCTGCTCTACCAGTGATATCCAGACAGCACAAAAGCTGCACTTATAACTCCTACTTGGCCATATCTGGAGTAATCTCATTCATTCTTTAGGCCTCACTAGGCTTCCTCAGGGACAGATTGCTGGATTACACGGAGACAATAGGCAGCCTCAACACCACCCCGCCTCCTTCAGCTTTGTAATGGTGGTGTGACCCCCACAATACTTGCAGTGTCCTTCACAAGACCCACGCTGGGACACACTATGATTTTTGATTTGGCCAGGATGGGGGCAGTTTCAGAGGTTTCCCTTTGGCCTTTGGCATCAAGAGATCCCTTATACCACAGACTGGGGACCCAGTGTGGGGGTGACTCCACTTACCAGAGCATCAGTGTCAATTATGCACTCAGGGAATTGGAAGATAATCAGGGTTGGGTCTATGCATCCAGTGGTCCCATTGCGGGCCATAATGTGTCCAGGTTTACTCCCTGGCCTCCGTAAGCCCCACTGTGATGGAGAAGATGATTGTGCTGTGGGCATCTGGGCATCAATATCAGCTTACATGCAGTGAAAATGATCCCCCCTAGTTCTGCCTATTTCCCTTCCCCAATGTACAGTCTCCTGAGTAAATGGCTATAGGTTCCCTTGCTGAAAGACTGAGGGAATTGTCCCAGCCATATACCTCCATGGTGTCCCAGGGTCCTTTCTCTAGGGATATGGACTCCTCCTCTGTCACTGAGATCTGAGTCTGAATCTTGATTGAGGTCTAGGCATTGAGAAGGGGATCATGGCTTTGTATTTGGTCGAACACCCTCAGTCTCCTGCTCCTCAATTCTTGCTTTCTTATCATATATATCAAGCAGTGCCCTTGTTGGCTGCCTCTTGTAACCCTGGTGTCCTCTCTACTAACTTTCCCCACACTCCCTGCAGCTTGAGTCCCCTTGGCTGCTCCTCTGAGGTTGCCATGGTAACCATGCCCTCCGGCTTTTGCAGGTCACTGCCACCACTTGTTCTCAGTCTCTTCAGGCCCACATTCTCCCCAGAGATATGAATAAGCACAACTCTGGGACCTTTACTATCATTACCCCCAGCCTGCAGAGGATAACACCCCGACACTTCTTAGTGATGCAGGTCCCTCTCCACAGCATGTTCCTGAGGCTCTGGTGGAAGATGTGCCCTCTGGGTCCTCTTGTGGAGCATGGTCCTGGTGGGCCTTCATCACGCCCACTTCCCTCAGCCTTGTTATTGCATCCTCTACATGTTCCAGGATAACTAGGTCATATCTACCTTGTTGAGAGTTGGGCATCATTTTTTCCAGTCTATATGGACTCACCCCAGTAGTGGGTTTACCCCATGTCCTGGGTTCTTTGATAAACCCATGTCCTGAGAAAGTGCCTCCAAGCCAAAGGATTTTTATTCATCCAGACTGAAATTCTAGTTTATTGATCAAATGCCCTCAAATTCCAATCCCAGAAGTGCACCCCAGGCCCCTATGGGGACATGCTGGCTAGTTCCTGCAAAGCTCCTGAGTGGGATTCCTGCTGCATCGTAGGAGTGAGGCTTCTGTAGCATCTTTCAGCATAGGAAGTGGGAACGATTACTAGAGAAGGGTGAGCCTCCTCTGCATGCCCAGGGGGTCCTGGAGGAGGGCACCCATCAGATAACTCTGTTCTAGTTTGCAGAATCTGAGGTTCCCCCACCAGGGCCCTGACTTTCCTATAAAAGGCCTGTGTTGGCTGAGTATCAAACGTCTCTGGAGCACTGTGCCCACCATAATGATGTTCAGCTACCATTCCATGCTATCTGCTCTTTTGATCCAGGAGATAAAGGCCTCTCCATGAGACACTGCAGAGACTCTCACACATAGCCAGTGACAGCTGTTAACAACCTGCAGATTCTCATTATCCTTTTATAGAGCATCAACACAGCTGGGAAGTAACCAGCCAACTCCACTGTCTTTGTGGGTTTACCCCCAACTCCATCATTATTGTGCAGGGCATTCTATCACCACATCTGCCATAGCTTCCCCTAACCAGAGCATCTTCTCAGGTTAGCACTGGTGAGACCCACGGCACTCAGACGCAACTTCTCTATGGACTTTCTTTGTCCCCCGCTAACCTAGATGGCATCCTCTTGGCCTGACAGGCAGTGGGAAAGCTTATTTCAAATTTCCAGTTTTGGTCATTTTCATGGATCGCCCTTGATACCACTTGTGATAGCTGCGGTCCTGAACTTAGACCCCAATACAGTATTAAATGTGTAAGGATTTATTAGGGGAAATAGTTGTGAGAGAAAATCAGGATAGAGACAGAAATGCTGGAAAAGCCATCAGATCACAATGCAACTCTGAGTCCCAGTGAAGGAGAGAGGGCAGGAAGGTCAGCTGGAAGCATCCTAGACCCTGTGTAGGCTAAGGGAAGCTCAGTAGGGATGGCAGGGAGTCCTGGAGCCTCAGCCAGCCTTCAGAGTAGGAATATTCTTGCCTTAGTTTTCCTGCTTTGGTCAATCATTGGTTGGAAAAAGCTGGGGCAGGTGTGGTCTCAGATCAAACGTGACAATAGATTTCAGGCTGCGACAGCTGGGACATCATCAATTATTCTTCCTCTACCTGAGGGCCTGGGATGTGCATCCTCATGAGTGCCACAATGATCCACTGGAATAAAAGGAAAAGGGATGACAATAGAGGGAAAAAAAAGGTATTAATTGATGAGCTAACACTTTAAGTAGATGAGAAGGGATGATGTTCAGGGCACCAGCAGAGGAACTGGCTCTGGCTGGGAGCAGGATGGTTAACACACAGCAATCCCCCATGTAGTAAAATGCCTGACATGTGGTGCAGCTGCAAATGCATGAGCAGACGGTGGTGGAATCTGTGAAGTTGTCTTCTAAATGTGTTCAGTTTTCTCAGTGAAGTAGGAAGCAAGATCATCAGCGGAAGTAAGAATGGGGAAGGAAGATTGGATGTGTGAGGACAGAGAGAAGGTATGTAAGAGTCACCCAGGCCAGGAGGAGGCTGAGAGTGAGCCATGCAGGGAGAGGGTGATTGCTGGCTATGGTGGGGGCTCCCCATGAGGTTTGGGTCGTGAATGTAGAGAGAACAGTCAGCATGCTGTGTGCTGCTCTCCAGCCTCCTGCAGCTTATGGGGGCAGGTGCAGTGTAGGCTGAGGTGGAATCCACTAGCTGTGTAGTTTTGCCAGGCAAGTGTGACAACGAAAGGGAGAGGCAAGGGAGGGATGGAAATTATTTACTACAGAATCCAAAATGGATGAGGAGGGAGGAGAGGACAACAAACACTAAGGGAGAAGGAATAGATAGCAGCATCACTGGATTGGGAATTTCAAGGGGGTGGAAAAATTATTGGAATAGATGTACTACAGAATGGACTCCATGCCTGGAAAGCAGGCACACATGCAATGAGTGGTTCACTGATGTTACATTATAGCATATGATCAAATTATAGCATCAGTGTCTTCAGAGCCTGTGGCTACCCTGCAAGGGGATGAGTGGAAAGATGGCCAGAGAGTGGGAAGTGTGAGATTGAGAGTGTGGAAGGGCTGGGGTTCTTTGCCATGATGAGGCCTAGGGGAGGACAAGGTCCTGAGATTCCGGCAGAGAGAGGAGATGGTAATGAAGAAAAGGAGTTCCAGGATCTGAGAGGCCAGGGAGTGAGGGCATCTTCTCTGCTGTATAGGTGTCTATTGCTGCCATAAAAATTACCACAAACCAAGCAGCTTTAAACAGCACCTAATTATCATGTCACAGTTGCGTGGGTTGCAAGTCCACCCAGTCTCACGGGGCTAAGATCAAGGTATGGGCAGGTCTGTGCTCCTTCCTGGAGAATCTGGGGAAGAGTCCACATCCAAGCTTATTCAGGTTCTTGTCTGAATTCACTTCCTGCAGATAGAACTGAGCTTCCCACTTCCTTTTTGGGAGCACCCTTAGATCCTAGAGACTTCTCTCTGGTGCCTAAAGCACATCCAATCCTCCTGCTTGGAACCACTGATCTCCCCTTTGCTGTGTCTCCTCTGCCTTCCTTCTCTGCAGCATGTGACTCCATCTAGAGCAGATTCTCTCCTTTTAATGGCTCATGTGATTTGATCGGGCCCACACAGAGAGTCCAGGATTATCTCCCTACTTTAAGGTCTTTTATCTTCATTACATGAGTAATGTCCCTTTTGCCATGCAATGCAACCTGTTCACCGACTCCAAGGACTAAGACTGGATCTCTTTGGGGACTAGTACTCAGCCCAGCACATCTGCATATGTTGAAGTCAGAAAGAATCAAGGAGACAGCACTGCTGGAGAGGGTGACAGTGATCTAGGAGCTACAAGAGTTAGGATTGACAGGAATGGCTTGGGGCCCACAGGGAATGGCTACAATGAGGGGAGCGGGGCCTTAGTCTGTTGACAGCTTAGGGGTTTTAGGGAGGAGGGAGGCAGAAAGGTCTGAGAACCACAGTGAAGAGCAAGGACCCCACCTCACCTCTGAACCCAGGGGTACAAGTTGCTGGGAAACTCCCCCATGTAGGGGAACTTCAGAGTGGGTCACATCCTCAGGAAGACCTGGTTCCTGCTAGAGCTTCGAGGTGAGGGAGCATCCTGAGAGAGAATGAGGAGGTTTTGCTGATCATGGACTGAGGATTCCAGGGAGTACAGAGGGAAGATTTCTGGAGTTAGGTAGGGGACATGGTGGGGGGACAGAATAGAGCGTGCGGAGCCTTGTGGGGATGCAAGTGCTGGGTATATGGGGGACCCAGTGTGACTGACACAAACAGGGAAAGGGCATGAGGAGCTCAGTCCTGGTGGACTCGAGGCAGACGATGGTGCTGAGGCTGTGGGAGATGAAGGAGGAGGAGCAGGGGTGGCTGTCACCTGGGCTCTCTCCATGGAGGTGAAGACAGTGAGGTGGTTGGGTCTTAGTGCTGTGTGGACCTTCTGATGACTGGATGGAGTGTCTGAGGGAGGAGGGGTCTTAGAGGATTCACTCGTGACCCTGAGGGAGGGTATGTTCTCACTTCAGGTCTCAGGTGTGCCCTGACACCTTTCTTTGTGGCTTAGGGCTCCCTACTGTAAATTATTGGGGATTAGTACCTTTTGGAATTTGTAACTTAAAGCAGAAACTCAGATGGTCGAAATGTCATTTTCATGAAGGTTTGTTATTAGCGTATCATTTAGATTGTCTTGCAAAAGTCTCATTTTTTGTTGTTTTTCTAAAGGGCTGTCGATCTTGTTTTAAATTTACAAATATTGATAATTTATCTCCACTGTTAATTGGTTGGGGGTTGTTTAATTTTGTACTGCATAGTTTTACATATCTATAACAACAGTGGTTTGGGCCTCTTATGTTCTAATAATTAAGACTTTAAGCTGTGTACACATTGCAATTCAAGTATGAGTCATGCATAACCCTGGCACTAAGAGACAAGAGGGAAAGTCCTTCTCTCCTAAAATTTTGCAAAGGTTCTGGGTTCTTTTTCCACTGAGTGGGAACAAGTCAGCTAGTGAGGAACATGAGGTCTTTGGCCTCATCGAAAGGTGATTCATCTCCCAACTGTGAGAAGCACTGACCACTAGGAAGACCTCCCTGCCTGGTCCCTGGACCCCTACACCATGGTAGAGGCTATCTTCCCTCCCACTGCAAAGTGGTATCCCAGATAGCAAGCTGGTTAGCTGCTGCCAGCTCTTGGGTAGTTTTGTCTTCTAAGGCATGGGTTTTTATCTGAAAATCTTCCCCTTCCCAGATGACCCAAACTGGGGCCACCCACTCTTTTCTGAGCCACCTCTGCCCAGAGACCTGTGGCTATGTCCTCCAGTCACAACAGAACACCCTTTCAGAACACCCTGCAGGAAGCTGAGATCTCTACAGACTCACATGAATGGTGTGTGCACAGAGCTTTGGTTCTAGTTCAGGAGGTGTGGAGTGAGGCTCGCTAGTCCAACAGAGCTTGAGGCTAGTACTAGTGTCATATGCCAGGAGGCAAGGTTACAGGGGATACAAAGTGTCCAGACCTACCAGAGAAGGCAAACCCCTGTAACAGGCAGGGCTAGACAGGGACAAGAAACAAGGTCATTCTGGGCCAGCAAGAAGAGGGAAAGGGAAATTACAGACATATCTCAGAGAGATTGCAGATTTGGTTTCAGATCATGCAAACAAAACAAGTCACACAATTTTTTTGTTTTTGTAGTGTACATAAAAGTTATATTTATACTTTAGCCTATTAAGTATACAATAGCATTATGTATAAAATAGATATGTACATACCTTAATTAAAAATTACACTACTGCTAAAAAATGCTAACAGTCATCTGAGGCTTCAGCTAATACTAATGTTTTTGCTGGAGTAGGGTCTTGCCTCAATGTTGATGACTGCTGACTGATGACAAGGTGGCTGCTGAAGGCTGCTGTGGCAACTTCTTAAGACAATAAAGTTTGTGGCATGGATTGTAAGGTGGGAATTAGTACATAAGTAAGGTCAATATGAGTTTTCAAGTCAAGTGGACCTGAATATGAACCCTTCAGGCCTTTCCACCAGCTAGCTATAGAACCCTGGGCACATCTGGCCCACAATTGGCCCTGACAGACACTTTCACAGTGAATGAGTGCTGAATGAAACCATATGAGTCAGTTTCCTCATCTGCAAACCAGTGATGTAATTCCTGCCTTGCCAATTCAGAAGAATACATGAGAAGAAACATAGTGCCAAGAAAAACAGACACAAGACCTGTGGAAGGCTGGGCACCAGTGCTCTAAAGCAAGATCTGCCTAAACTGGCAGGAACATTTTTCACAGCAGACAGGAGTTGGTCTGGATTCTGTCTGGGGCCAGGCTGAGAGGGAGGTGGGGGCAGCAGAACGGGACAGGGGCAGGGGCCTATGCAGGGCCAGGCACTGAAGCAAAGCCCAGGCCTGGAAGGGCGGGCTCCTGATGTCTGCTAGGAAACTCAGACAGCTCCCTGCCTCACCCGCCATGGTTTTTCCTCTTCCAGGATCTCTCAGAGCTGTTGCCTTCACTTTTCCTGCCTTGGAAAGTGGAGATGATAACGAAAAGCTGTTGCCAAATTAAAGGAGGCTATTGCCTCCTCTCCCCTCCTGGTCCCTAGCACTCCAGGACTCACAAAGATGCTGCTCTGAAAACCCCAAGGCAAGCGTGGAAGAGTAGAACAGCTCCAGGGGCAGTGGGAAGATGAGGGCACCCCCGCATGTTGACAGACACCAAGGGTGGGGGTGGAGGAGATGAAGGGGATCAGCACAGGAGTCTGGGGGAAATCCTCTAAATCCCACCCTGCACCAACCTCACCCCTGCAGCTCCTTGTGTAGTTACAGCTCTCAGCTCTCAGCTCCTTCCCAACCACACCCCAGCCCAGACCTCAGGGCTCCTCCCTCTCCCTACCCCCTCCAGAGCAGCACAGTCCACAGAGCCCTTGAAAAGGAATTCCCCCTCATCTAACAGTTAATTATTTCTTAGTGGGGAGGGACAGCCGGTCCTCTCTTTCCAGTGACCCCATGTCTTTGTTCAAGGCATCCAGTTATACTCCCTGAGCCAGGGATCTCTAGGCCAGCTGGGACCTAACAGCTTCTCCAGTTGCTCAGGGGCCAGCACTTATGCAACCTGGCATCTGTGCCTGGCACTTCCTTCAGATGTCTGGCTGTCCTCGGAGGGCTGGAGTCCAAGGAGTTGGGGCAAGTAGGTGGTAACCAGGCAAAGTTTGAGTTGCAAGAAGACAGGGATATTGGCCATCCTGGTCATTGTAGTCTTATCAGGTCCTTGTCCCTTGTGGAGGCAGAATTCACCACATGTTAGTTTTTCCTGCTGTAATGAACATGAACTTGGGGTTGGTGCACTGATACAATAAGGTTTGCTCTGCTGCAGTAGTGTTGCCTCCGTGTAAGAGAAACAAAGGCTTCAATATAACATTTGCCTGTGTATCTCACAGCCTAAGGGCTAACAGAGCATCTGTGGGAACACAGTGGCCCACACCCTAGTCAGGACCCCACAAGGACTGAACCAAATGTAGGGTCATTAGCTTTTCCTGGCCTCAAATAGGAGTCTCACCCTGCCTTAGCCATGACTCCCATGCCATGTACATGTGGTAGGGGCCTGTGTGCCTAGCAAGGACACAGTTCAGAGAGCTTTCTTCATTACCTAGGGTGAGTGGCTGGAAAAAAAAAAAAGTTGCCCACGCCCATGAGGCCCTGGAGGGAAGCATAGAACCTACTACTAAATTCTTCTGGGATGACCCATTTCAGGCATGGTTTCCTCTGTATCAAAGTTGCTCTCTCACTGATCTACTGACAGCTAGCTCTTAACAAAAGAGTGTGTGGAGCAGTAAAACTCATGTCGGCCTGAGAGGGCCCCAGACATGTAATGATGTCTGGTGGCTTTGGCTGGGGCCACCCCATGGCTGTCCTCCTTCTTGGGCGTTCCCCGCTCCCATCTCACTGGAGCCATGGTGGGTTCACCTGTCCTCTCTTCTCACTCCCATTCTTCAGGGTGGGATGCAGTGGTGTGCTCCTCTCTCCCCAACAGAGCACTGGTGTCCCTTTTGGAGTCTAGTTTCTCTTTTCACCCCCAAGCCTGCTGGGGAGGTCTCAATTCCAGGAAGTTGGCTGCTGGGCATCCACTATGGGCTCCAGCCCTGGACCACAGGCGCTGTCATATTTTGGGTGGAAAGGAATTTGTTTCTTTTCTGCAAAGTAAAGGAAAATGGAATGAGGGCAATTAGGTTGATCTCATGATGTCCATGGGTCCATGGGAACTTGAAAGACTCATCCCCTTCCCCCTGCTTTAAGAAGATAAATGGAGAAAAGGAGCTCCCATTAAGGGAAAACATTGACTCTATTCCTATTGACTCTATCCTTGAAATGGAATTTGGATTCAACTTCAAAATTGAATTCATTTTTAGGGATAGAGTCAAATTCAAATATTGACTCTATCCCTGAAATTAAATCACAAGCAAATAAGAAATTTATGAGATCCAAACTAAGCCATTTAAGTAAACTATTCCAGAATTTAAAGCTCAGCAATGACAAGATATCAGGAAACAGTGACAATTCTCCCACTCCACAGGTGAGTCCAGTGAGACTGGTCAGGGCTTGCTGCCTGCTCCTTGGTGCTGTCCTGGTACTTTGGAAGCATCTATGATTCTGTGAACCTCACCCACAGCTGCCCAGCAACTTCCTTTTGCTTATATGAGCCAGACTCTGCTTTTATGGCTTATACTCAAATAATTTAAGGTATTTATTTATGAGTTATACGTCCCATGTGGAGATAGGGAAGGAGAGTTAGGTACTCTTCAATGTTACTACCTGCTAAGCATATATACATGATTTTTTTTTTTTTTTTTTGAGACGGAGTCTCACTCTGTCACTCAGGCTGGAGTGCAGTGGCATGATTTTGGCTCACTGCAGCCTCTGCCTACTGGGTTGAAGCAATTCTCTTACCTCAGCCTCTCAAGTAGCTGAGGTTACAGGCGCCCACCATCATGCCCAGCTAATTTTTGCATTTTTAGTGGAGACAGGGTTTCACCACTTTGGCCAGGCTAGTCTCGAACTCCTGACCTCAGGTGATCCACCCGCCTCGGCCTCCCAAAGTACTGGGATTACAGGCGTGAGTCATCATGCCTGGCCGAAACGTTGCTTTTTAAAGGTATAATTTTGGATTAGAGCAAATGCTAGTGTATTTAAGTAAATTCCATGAAGAATGTGAACACTGTAAGCAAGTGCATTATTCTCAGCTTCCATCTCCTCACAGAGCCATCATCCACTCTCTTCCATCCTGCCCCCTACACTGGGAGGCAACTATGACAGACAGACGACATGGCCTGTGCTCCTTCACCATCTGGCTTGTGCTTGGGTGTGGATGATAACAGGCACCTGCAGGAGATGGGAGTGTGGGAGGAGGAGTAACTCAGGGTTTTCATTTCCCTCACTTACTCTGGGCAGCTCTGTGATTCTGTAATCACTTCAGGCCTCTATCTACAGCCATAGGCATGGCGGGCTGCCCCTAGTGAAAGCTACAGATTTGCCTGAGTTCTAGAAACTGCTCCCTTCCTTGCTCTTTCAAGCTCAGAAATGCAAACCATTTCCTGCTACAGATCATCCCAGGGAGCTTCAGTGCCCCTTGTGACTTTCTTAGCCCTGCCAGAACCTCTTTAAAACGTGTCTTCCTTCTGTGCCATATCTTTCCTGCCAGGACCCAGACCACAGGGTGCTCCCACAGAAAAAGGGACAAGAATTTATTTATGACATGGCAATAACATATCTATTCACAATGCGAATTCAATTTGTTTTGGAAGAGACTGGGTCTTGTTATGTTGCCGAGGTTGGTCTTTAACTACTGGCCTCAAGCAATCCCTTTGCCTTAGCCTTCCCAAAGTGCTAAGATTACAGGCGTGAGTGAGTGTGCCCAGGCCTTAATTCAAAAATTTGACTTACTACAATAAAAGGGAAACAATAGAAGCATTCTGGAAATGGAACAGGAAAGAAGGCAGAGGTGGGAACGATCAATCTGTGTCATCTGAGAAGCCCCATGTGCAGAGGCTGTCCTGGGTCTTTAGGGGACGACAACAACAAAGCACACAGGATCCTGGTGTCAGGGACAGAGCATGGCCACTGTGGGACATAGCGGCTCTCCTACAAAATAATGCTCATATACATCCCTTATGAGGAGGATCAGATCAACATATAAAAATATGCCAGATAAAGTGGAGGCGAGGGCAGGATGGAGAGCTGCCAGTATCTGCCCTTGACCTCCATGGACTTGAAGAAAGGCTCAGCCTGGAGTTGTGTGAGGCCTCCGACCTGGAGCAGCACCCACCCCTAAAGACCAGGCACCAATCACAATGCAAGGAGAGATCCAGACAAATAAACAGGAAATGACCACAGCAGGAGCTTTGTTGAGCACAGAGCGAGGCCACACACCACTCAGCACCTGGCCCTCCACCCGCCCTTCTCTCCCCACCTGCCCCTGCCCCAGCACAGCAGATCCTCAGAATCCAAAAAGAGAACCTAACCTCCATGTTTTATTAATGGCTGATAATATTTTACCACAGCTTCAAAGAAATGATATGAGAACAATAACTAATAGAGTAAGAAGTCTATTCAGGGTGAGTGAGTGACAAGGGAAATCTAGGAGGGAGATATTGTAACCCTTTCATTCCCAGAAAAGAAATGATGGTCCAGGGAGATACACCAGGCCTGGATATTGAGATTACGTGGAAGGGGTTCTGGGGCATCAGAGGAGTGGGCCTCACTCCCACCATCCTCCCCTTGCTATGCTTGGGAGGAGATAGAGCTCATCAGCTGCACAGCTGGGGAAAGAGAAGTCAGGGTCTTCCAAGAGACAAGGGGAGCTGTGAACAATCTGTGTCTTGCTGGTCTGCACAAGGCAGCTCTCAAACAGTGGAGAACATGCTAATGAGCAGATTCAGCTCAGCCACTCTCAGCCTTGACACCCTGAGCATTACAGACAGCCCGTGACCAACCCCTACTTTCAAATCCAAAGATCCCCTACAGCTTGAAGCTTCTCCCCGGCCTCAACTCCTGTTGGTGTTGGGCCCCAAGGGTCATATTTCAGGAAGCTGTGAGCACCACATCAGCATCAGGGACCCGGTCACCACCTGGAGAATGATAATAAAAAGACCCAGCAGAGCCTGCAGGAGACTGTATTTGAGGCAGGACCATAGGATAAGTGAGGAATGAGACGGTGGCTCCATCCTGTCTATTTCAGGAGTTAGAGATGAGCTGCCCCTACCGCCCCTTCCATGCTGCTTTTTATTGAGTAGACCCCTCCTGAAGTTCTTTTGAGGAGAGAAGACCCTGTTAGGTGCCATGGTAGAGAGGGGCCCTGTGAGTCTTAAATAACTGGTTAATATAGCTACTTAGCTGAAATTAGGAAGGTAAACCCAGGATTCAGGAGAGGAGAAAGAGACAGCATGGGATCCTGCAGTCACCCTCCTGTACATCTGTTTGCAGGGAGGGTCTTTCCTGCAGGGTTGGGAGCACCCAGTATTGAGGTCCTCTGAGTATGGCTACCCTGTTGTTCTCATCTGTGAATGGGGCCAGGCCTGTTTCTTCCCCCAGTATAAACAGCCAGGGGAATCCATCCACAAAACACCTGCTAGCTTCACATTAATCCTGTATTAGTTTGATTTAATATTTCATATCTTATAAGAAATGAAATGGAAGGATGATCTCTTTGGTAAAGGTAATTCAGATTCCTGGGGCCCTGGATACCTTATCTCACTGTTTAAAATCCTCATGGAGGATCAGGAGAGTACAGAGCCCAGAAACAGTCACGAGACCTGAAGCTCCCTGGTGTAAAGGACCCTCCCCCGCACCCTGGGGCTTAGAGTGAACAGCCTCTACTGTCAGCCTGATTGTTCTCAGTCTTCCTGGCTGCCAAGCTTCTGGTTCCCAGCAGCCTCCTCTCTCACCCTTCACCTCTTCTGACTGGGGTCATTGGCCACTTGACAGGCTGTGCCCTCCTTGTCAGTCAGCCTGTCTACCTGGTTTCCTCTCAGGGTGTGTGGCTTGACTGGGTTAACCATCCCCAGCCCCAGCAGAAACAGGGAGAAGTGACTCAGCAAATCCCCCAAGAGCAGTGGGATCCCTACATGTGAGATGGGGCAAAGCCATCATTCTAGTCCCTCCCATACCTGAGAACTTCTTGCACATCACAAGTCCAAGGACCATAGCAGGAAGTAGCTCTAAGCCAGAGACAAGAACAGAGCAGTGACAAGAGGCTGGTGTGAATGGAGACCAGCAAGCTCTATTGAGAGTAGTGGGATGAGGCCACAGATGCCCTGTGTTGAGGGGCTAGTAGGAAATGGTGGGAGACTGGGATTTCATTGCACTAAGAAAGGAAGAGGATGGAGTGTCCGTGGGATGTGATGGTGAGGATGTGCCGTAATTCCCATTTGAAAGGCTCGCTCTGCCTGTTGCATGGGTGATGGACAGCAGGTGTGAGAAGCAGCAGGCAGCCCAGCTGGAAGGCCCATCTGATTTACTATCCTAGAGAGGATTGGCTCTGGGGTAAAGTAGTAGAGGAGTGAGAAGTGATTGGATTTGGGGTCAAATATTTAAGATGGTGTTAGCAATAAGTCAATGGAGAATCACACATTTATTTACTTAACTTAATTCTACAGTTCATTCCCAGGAGTTTACAGCAACAAACCCATGGTAATAAATATACATGAATTATTTTAAAACAACACCAAGGAAAATATAAACTTTAGAATGTTAAGGCTGGGGTAAAGCTAGAACATTGCTAGGCACGAAGGAGCATCTGAAACATTTGCTGAAATGGTTTACTGTTTACCTATCCATGGATTTGTTGGCTCACAATTTTATTGCATCAGAGCACCATGGAGAGGGGTGACAGTGCAGGTCACCAACCCTTAGTTTTCTGCTTCAGGAACAGTTCCTTGTTCTACACTTAGAGTCAAAGCAAATTATGTAACTGTAAGATGTTCAAAGATGAAGTCAACGAATGCAAAGTCAGTAACTAAGTATAAAAACCTCCCCCAAGGAGAGTCTACATTTCTTCCCCAGAAATGGCCTCACTGTGCACTGCTGAAGGGAGAGGGTCTTTTCAAAGAGCCCAAGAAGCAGGGGCTACTGGGCTGCAGCTCTAAATAGAGATGCCATTCTTTCTACCTGCAGGTCCTGCCAAGCCTAACAGCAGACTTCAGTGATCCCACCTGAACCAGGAATTCGGGATTTTTGATGCTGGTTCTATTTGAGCCATTGTGTAAGCTTAAAAATGTGACATGGAGATTTTGCTGTAATTGTTTCTTTGCTGGAATTTGACATCCACGGTGCCTCTGGCTTCCTCTCTGGTCCCAGGAGGGAATGGATTGTCCAGCACTTTTTTTCAGCATCTCTTTGTGGGGGGGGGATCAGGAGATTTGGAGTCAGGGGCCCCTCCAATCTCACCCTCTTCTCTAATGCAGAGTCCCTTAAGCTTTCTGGGGTGGGGGCGTTGGCACTCTGCGGATCTCATGAATAAAATTGTTCCAGCTCCTGAAATAAAGGCACAGGTGCACATAAATACGCTGACTCTTGCATGCAGTGCCAAGGTGAGGAAGTTTCCTATGATAGATGCCGAGTTTAGCACTTTGACTCTCCATTAACATTCACACAGACACACACACAAGCGCGCGCACACACACAAACACACACACACACACACACACACATACAGAGTCAAAGCCAGCGATGCGGGAGGGGCTGACCTCAGGGGCGGGGTCACAGGCATCCCTCAGGTCCTTCTCAGTGGACTTTGTCTCTTTTTCCTGGAGGTGGAGGAGTCTGTACTTCATGAGAAGTCCTCTGAAGAAAGCAGGAGATACTTAGGAGCGGGGAAGTGGAGACAAAGGGGAGGGGGCGAGGCAAGGGGGGAGCACGCAAGAAATGGGGAGGGGGAGGACCTTATAGTGGTCAGAAAAGTCACACGCAGAATTTGGCTCTTGGTTTTTGTGTTTCATTAGGATGGATTTAGAAAACCAGACAGAGTGCGAGATAAGGAGTCTACCTTGCAAAAGACACGTCTTAGTGTCCTCCTAGTTTGAACTCATCAGTAGTAGCTGGGAGAAGGGAGCCGGGACGCCTGTGTGGGGCACGCCCTCTCTAGTTGTTCCCATTCTCTGCACCCCACCGGCTGGTGCCCTTCAACCCCAACAGGAAGGAAAGGAAGGAGGGGTCGGAAGGCTTTGGGTCTTCCCTCGCGCGCCTTCTTCCTCTGCCATTTATTCCGAGTGTCCTTGCCTTCCCTCCGCTACCTGATCCCCACCTTAACAAAGCACACTCTGCGCTGTTGGGCCAGGATTCCTCCTTTGGCCTCTGACTCACTGGTACAATTTCGCTGCGTCCTGTCCTTACCGCAATTGCTACTGGGTAGAGCCGGAGAGAGCATCGCCCAGACCCGCTAGATTCATGCAGCGCCACTGCCCGCACATTCTTGACACTTCTTTAGATCCAAAGTCAGAGCCTGAGTTTTCAGACTAGTTCCGAAAGCCTTTAGCCATTGGAAAGGGGAAATCAATACTCTAGGAACAAAATTTGCTTCGACTTTGTCTCAACCCAAAGACACCATGACGGCGCAGTTTTCAAAGTTGCTTTGAGTATAAATGGAACAGGGTCTCCTGTGTCAGACTCGATTTTGCGTTTCCCTCTTTATTATAGCCCTTCTGTAAATTTTATTACATGTATCTCTACTCCACTAAAAACATTTCTGTCAAAGACACTAAGAAAGAGTCAATGCCATGAAAATATGAAGGATACTCTTAAAAGAGAGTTTCTGGTGTTGAGTTTTAATTAACACTTTGGTATTTAAAAATCTCTAACTATTTGGGTTTGGGGCTTAGCTTCATAATGTTTCAAACTGAGATATACTCTTCCTTAACCTCCATACAAATTCAGGTTTATTTTTATTTTTAATTGCATTTATTTTTCTTTTTTTGAAACAATGTCTCCATTCGTCACCCAGGCTGGAGTGCAGTAACACAATCATAGCTCAATGCAGCCTCGAACTCCTGGTCTCAAGCAATTCTGCCTCACCTTCCAGAGCTGAAATTACAGGTACAAGCCACCGGGCCAAGCCAAATCCAAGTTAATACTGTAATATAAAATTCCAACATTTCAGAGAAAGTGAAAATCACCAAGTTATTGTAGTCCCTGGAGTCACTGTCAAGACTTTGGTGAGGGCTCAGTGGCTCACGCCTGTAATCCCAGCACTCTGGGAGGCTGAGGCGGGTGGATCACCTGAGGTCAGGAGTTCGAGACCAGCCTGTCCAACATGGCGAAACCCCATCTCTACTAAAAACACAAAAAATTAGATGGGTGTGGTGGCGAGTGACTGTAATTCCAGCTACTAGGGAGGCTGAGGCAGGAGAATCACTTGAACCCTGGAGGTGGAGGTTGCAGTGAGCCAAGATCGCACCACTGCACTCCAGCCTGGGCGACAAGAGCGAAACTCCGTCTCAGAAAAAAAAAAAAAAAAAAAAAAAAAGGCCAGGCGCAGTGGCTCACGACTGTAATCCCAGCACTTTGGGAGGCCGAGGCGGGCAGATCACGAGGTCAGGAGATCGAGACTAACCTGGCCAACACGGTGAAACCCCGTCTCTACCAAAAAAAAAATACAAAAAAATACAAAAAATTAGTGTGGTGGCGGGCGTCTGTAGTCCCAGCTACTCGGGAGGCTGAGGCAGGAGGATGGCGTGAACCCAGGAGAATGGCGTGAACCCAGGAGGCGGAGCTTGCAGTGAGCCGAGATCGCGCCACTGCACTCCAGCCTGGGCGACAGAGCTAGACTCTGTCTCAAAAAAAAAAAAAAAAAAAAACTTTGGTGAGAAATCTTCCAGGTTTTTCCCTACTTAAAATATACATTATGGAAGTGGTATTACTGGCATTATAATTCAGTATATCCTCATCTTTTAATAAATGGTTAAAAGTATGAGACGCACACATCTTCTCATAACAATACTTAAAACTGATCTTACCTCTTTTATGACCCTATAAAATTGTATTGCATAGCAGTTCTTTGGAGGACGATGGAAATGTTCTACATCTTCATTGTGGTAGTGGAGATGTGGGTGTGTACAACAGCCAAAACACAACGAGCTATGCATTTCAAATAGATACATTTTAGATACATTTGATTGTATGCAAAGCAAGTCCCAATAAAATGGCTTTTAAAATATATCTTCTTTGAGATTTGTACTTTGCTTATGTAAAACAAAACAAAACAAAAACCTTGTTTTTGTGCCCAAGAGACACACCCTGACACATCGGCAGGTAGAGGCTTACGTGTGTATATATATTACTGTATATTTACAGATTCAGAGAGAGAGACAGAGATAAAGCTATGTTAACAATATTCATACATACCAAAACTAGATAAAAACCAAAAATAAAAGTTAGAAATAATAAAACTCTATATTTTAAATGTTATTCTCTTCTTCACCTTTTTTCTCCTCTTTCCTTCCTCTCTCTTCCCTTTTTTCTTCAACACGCTCCCCCCACCCCCACCCCCCAGCCATCCTTCCCTACTTTCTCCCTTCTCTGCACTTGATCCCCGGTGTATTCCAGCCTCGAGGCCAACACACGTCACCGCGTCCGCCTGGGGCAGGTCGGGGAAGGGACGCGAGGCGGCGCTGTCACCGCATTCTGAGGGCCGCAGTGCCCTGCGCCCCTGCTGGTCTTGTATCATTTCAGTGAACGTCGCTCCAGTCTTTGATGGGGCCACACTCGGGATGTAAATTTAGGATCCTCACTGAAGGGGCGGGACCCTGAGAGGCTTTCTCCTGGCCCCTTAGTTGTGAGTGTTCCTGCAGGCGGAGGAGCCAGTTTCCGTCAGAACCGCCCAGAGGCAGGCGCTGCCTTCCTGGGGTGGCGGAGCAGCTGGAAGCGTTTTCGGATCCTGGAATCCGTGGGCGGCCCGTGGGAGGGGCTGAGGCGCATTTCCCTACTCACCCGGATCCGAATCCACCGCGGTGCTGTTTCAAGCGAGTCAGATTCCACATCGCGCTCCACCCCGGACTCGGAATTCCTGCCCCACAGGTCTGCATTTTCACAGCGGCAGCTGTGAGTGCCCCGCGGCTGGAGACCAGAAGCCTGAAGGCAACTCCGTCCTCCCCAGCCCACAGCGCCGTTATTCCGTTTCTATATCAGCAAACACTTGTAGACCAGGGCGGGGTGACGGGTGATCTCAGTCCTCGCAGTGAACTCCGGGCCGCAGGCTTGAAAACGCGCGCGGGCGCCCAGCCCAACCCCGCCCTGGGTTCTGTAAGCGACCGCACTGGGTCCTTTCTCTTTCTTTTCCGGACCCAGCAGTGGCGCCTAAAGTCTGCGAGGAGGAAGTCGCCTCTGTGCCCCGGAGTTCAGAGGTCTAAGGCGAGTCCTGAGGAAGAAAACGTAGTTGATGGGGCAGAGCAGAAGGGGCTGGAGGTGGGGTGGAGGGAGAGGGCATTGGACAGAAGGCCTGGGAGACTTGGTGGGGGACGGGCAGCCAGGCCTGGACCCTGGGGAGTGCCTCACCCCGAGCGGAAGACCATCTGGGCTTCCCCTAGCCCAGAAAGGGTGGATTGGCTTCACCTCTGCTGGCCATCACCTCTACATGCCTTGGAACTAACCTTGTATATTATTATTATTGTCGTTATTTAAGTATTAAAAGTATTTTTTGGGGTGAGCTGAATGAGACCCTTTGCTAGAGCTGGCACAGGGAGGAAGGTCGTCCTGGAGGGAGGGTAGACACTGTGGAGGGAAGGGAGACCTCTGTCAGGAGAGCTGAGACCACCTCTCTGCCCCTCACTACTCTTGTAATCTTTAGGAGTGTAAATAATCCCCCTAAGGTGGGGACAGGACCCCAGTCCCTGCTGTGCGCAATAGATTATGATGATCAAAATAAATAATCAGTGAATGTGGATGGGAAATCTAAGTAATTGTTAAAACCCTGTGATGCTTAAATTTTCACTCACAGAAATGTGTAGGCTAGGAGTTTTAAGAGGAATGGTTAGTAATTATAGGTATAGTTCAGTTTTAAAAAATGTTTGTAAGAGTGACAAAGATAGAATGAACACAGTTCCAGATCATGGACTGTTCATCGTGTAGTGGGGGATGGTACAAGATGGTAGATGACAGCTGGGCATGGTGACACTCACCTACAGTCCCAGGTACTCAGGAGGCTGAAGTGGCTGGATTGCTTGGGCCCAGGCATCTGAAGCTGCAGTGAGCTGTGATCACACTGATGCCCTCCAACTGGCGGCAGAGTGAGATCTCCCCCTCTTAAAAATAAATAAATAAATAAATAGTAGATGGAGTTCAAGAATGCAGGCAAAGTTGGTACCCATCAGGGAGGTTCAAACCATGGGCTAGAACAGTGGTTCTAAAACTTGCCTACACATTGGAAGCACGTAGAGAGCTTTAAAAGATATTGAAGCTTAGGTCCAACCTAGCCTTACTGATTCAATTGGTTTTGGCTGTGACCTGGGACCGTGGATATTAAAAACTCTCCAGGTGGTTCTGTGAAGTGGCTAGGTTTGAGGACCACTGGCTAGATGTTCCAAAGAGTAAGAGACGTGTGTGTTGGGGACGAGATGATTCTTTCAGTAGAAAGAGGCTTTTGCATGGTGTTTTATTATCGAGATATAATTTATGTGCCACGTAATTTACCATTTAAAAATGTACAGTCCAGGGCCCACTCAGAACCATCCCAGCAACCTGACCACAGCTGGTCTTTGCTGGACACCATGAACCACACTGCCCAAACCTTCTTCATTCCTGCCAACAGTGGCTGCCCTCCCCCGCCCCCCAACCCCAGCTATGAGATGCTCAAGGAGGAGCATGAGGTGGCTGTGCTGGGGGCGCCCCACAACCCTGCTCCCCCAATGTCCACCATGATCCATATCTGCAGCGAGACCTCCTGTGTCTGACTATGTTGTCTGGTCCCTGTCCAACATCCTCTTCATGAACCCCCACTGCCTGGGATTCATAGCATTCACCTACTCCCTGAAGTCTAGGGACAGGAAGATGGTTGGAGACCTGACTGGGGCCCAGGCCTATGCCTCCACTGCCAAGTACCTGAACATCTGAGCCCTGATTGTGTGCATCATCATGACCATTCTGCTCACCATCATCATCCTAGTGTTGATCTTCCAAGTCTGTCGATAGATCAGGAGGCATCATCCAGGCCAGGAGCTCTGCCCATGACCTGTATTCCACATACTCCAACTTCCATTCCTCGTCCTGGCCCCAGAGCTGAGTTCTGTATCAGCCCTTTATCCTCACACACTTTTCTACAATGGCATTCAATAAAGTGCAGGTGTTCCTGGTTAAAAAAAAAAATGTACTGGTCAGTGGCTTTTAGCATAATCACAACATCGTGCCACAGTCGCTATTATCTAATTGGGAAGATTTTCTTTTTTTAAAGGCTAGTCAAGTAAAGCAGTGCGAGCGGAGAAGGAAAAAAGAAATCTGTAATTGGTTGTGATCAATTAGTTGTAAACACCGCTACACTCTGACCAGCCTAATTGGGAAGATTTAAGGATGTGACACGGTCTAATGGGCTCAGAGGCAGAAGTGACAGTAATCTGGAAGCAGGAGACTGCTTAGGCAGTGGCATCCCGGTGGGACAGGGCAAGGAGATTGGGGAGCCCACTTTTACTGCAACACTGGAAAGAGGGATGTCACCAGAGAAATGGGGGTGGTGACAGACAGGAGGTTGTGGCAGCTGTGGCTTCCATGGTAGAGACCTCACGTGTGACATTCAGCACATGGGGTGCTGTGGGGGTCTTAGAGCACTCTGACTATAGCTGGGACAGTCACAGTGTTTAGGAAGCCTGTACAGTAATCTAGGCTGAATCCTGTGCAGTGATCTAGGCTGAAAGCCGAGACTAAAGTAGTGGCTGTGGGATCAAAATAGGGTTGGAGGAGCTTTGAGTACTTGAGAAGGAAAAGGGGGAAATCAGAAGGCACCACGGAAAGAGAAACAGGGGAGGAAGAGAGGATGATGTCATGCGAGACGTGTAGAGTGTCCTTGTAGACCTGTCACATTGGAAGCTACTATGGTCTCAGAGGTACAGATGTCCTAAAGCAGGCTGGAAAAGGGAGTCTGGGGAGAGCTTGGTGTTGGAGTGGACACTGGCAAGCTGCCTCCTTGGCCTTTTGATCACCCAGGGGCTGAATAGAGAGGCAGCCCCGGGAGACCTCACACACTTACAGGAAGTGACCATAAGAAAGGGGACCTAGCTTTGAGTAAAAGGGAGGAGAAGGAGATTGTAAAGCTGAAACGTCTAAGAGATTTGTCGTCTTAGCGGATCAGCTGGGGCAGGTGCTTCAGAAACAGAGGTAGCTGAGGTCTGGAAACAGGTCTGCAAATCTGGTCACTGGCCACATAGCCAGTAACGCTGTGCGCGGCTGAGGGGAGTGTGTTGGAAGAATAACCAGGCCTCGTCTCTTCTGTAAGTGTGTCCTGGAAAGAACAAGCGAATGACAGTCAGCTTGATGGGGTGGCTGGCGAAACGGTCTTGGTGAGGCACGCTATCCTAGGGGTGGGGGTGCGGGGATGGGGTGGTCGCAATACAGGGAGGGCGGCAGGGCCCAGGTCGTGCTCATGCGGTTGGGGCTGTACTCTCAGCTGCTCGGAGCCAGTCCCCGCATTTGGCGGCGCTTCCGCGCGCTCCCCCTTTTCTGGGCTCCAGGTCCCGCCAGCCAAAGTTCTCCAGGTCTCCTGACCGCTGGAACGTTCCCTTCTGAGTGTGGCCCCGCCCTCCAAGCTCGTGATTGGCCCTAAGCTGCGGGCGCCAGTTTTCATTGGGTGAGCGGTCACTGGGGTGGGGCCAGGTGACAGGAAATTTCTGGTGGGCCTTCGCGGCTCCGCTGGGTTGGCAGCCGCTTGAGCCACTGCGAGGAAAGCAAAGTCTGGGCCATGGAGATGAGCCTAGTCCTGCTGTTCCTGATCCGCACTGCCCTTTTTGCACCCCAGGGAGCTGCTGCTGGTAAGTGGGGTTCCTGGCGGTCCTCGGCGGAGCGGCAGCGGCGGGGCGTTTCTGGGGGTCCGGGTGGGTAGCGGCGAGCGCTGTGCGACCGAGGCGGGGCTCAGGTGCGCTGTCGGGGGTGCGGGGAGTGGACGCGGCCCGTTCCCGCCACACCTCAACCCTGCTTCCACGTCTCTTTTCAGTCCTCCTCGGGATCGCTCATCACCCGCCCCCTGCATTTTCTGGTCTTGTCCTGCACTTTCTCTCCTCTCCTCTCCTCCGTCTCCTCTCACTTTTCGGACAAACCCGTCTTTCTGAGGCCCCTGGGTTCCTGGGCTGCTCCTGTGAATGGCATTCGAGGGCCCTTCCAGCGCGGCCGCTGAGGCAGCCACCTCCCTCGGTGCTGGGGGCGGCCCTAAGGTCCCTGAAGCCCTGTCCTCTCCCGGAGCCGACGTGTTCTCAGCTCCTGGGCCGCATCTCCTGGAGTTGGGGCCCTCCTTTCTCGGGACCCGGAGCTAGTGCTTCCTGCTGCTGTGGGGACTGTGGGGCTCCTGACCCTCACGCTGAGGGGTTGGAGTCTGCAGGCTCCGGGCAGAGGATTCTTCCTGCGACTTCTCTCATCCCCAGCTCATTCTCCCCTGGCCTCCCGCTGCCGGGGATCCTCTCTTGTCTTGCATCCTTCCCTGCTACTATTAACTCCGGTGATCTAAGGACACCAGATTCCCTCCCACCTCCTCCCCTGCCCTCAGGGCACCTTGGGTCCTGTTGCCCTCCCAGCTCCCTGTTACCCCTTCCTATCTGCAGTTCTCTGATACATTTCTAGGATGTCCTCTGCCTCATCCCCTGCCCCCGCCACCGCAGGTCCCTCCTGCCTCCCTTATGGGCCTTTCCTAGAAGCAGCCTTAACCCAGGGCTGCCCCTATGCCTCCCACTCCTAACTCTCCCTGACCCTAACTCTCTGGTGCCGCCTTTTGTCCCAGGGTCTTCCCTCCGTCCCACTCCCCTCTAGACCACCCAAGGGGAGCCCTAGTGCTAATGTTGGTTGGGCCTTAGGCAGGGCACAGGGCAGGGCAGATGCCCCCTCCCCTCTAGTGCAGGTGCCTGCTCTGGGCCCTGCCTCACGGTGGCCCCTTCCCTACTCCTTCATCCTCAGCCCCACCCTCTTGAGGACCCCCCACTCCAGCCCACGGGTGCTGGACCATCCCTCCCTGGTCCCTCCGCCCCTCTCCGCCTTGGGACCTTGTGCTGCTCCTACCTCTTGCCCAGCTGCCTTGGGCCCTCAGCAAGTTCTCATCTTTCCCAAGCCCCACCCTCACTCAGAGCACCCTCCCCTCCTGTCCTCACCCTAACCAAAGTTCCCCCAGGGTCACCCCCACACCATGCTCACCCCATCCTCCAGTCCTTGCCCTGCACATCTGTCCTCCTCTACCCAGACCCAACACAGGCCGTGTGTCCAACTGCTTCTTTTTTTTTTTTTTTTTTTTTTGAGACGGCGCCTCCCTCTGTCGCCAAAGTTGGAGTGCAGTGGCGCGGTCTCAGCTCACTGCAAGCTCCGCCTCCCGGATTCAAGTGATTCCCCTGCCTTAGCCTCCTAAGTAGCTGGGATTACAAGTGCCCACCACCACACCCAGCTAATATTTTGTATTTTAATAGAGACTGGGTTTCACCATGTTGACCGGGATGGTCTCAATCTCCTGACCTCGTGATCTGCCTGCCTAAGCCTCCCAAAGTGCTGGGATTACAGGCGTGAGCCACCACACCTAGCTGGTAATTCATTTTTTAATTTTTGGAGGAATCAACACACTGTTTTCCATAACAGGTGCCCTATTTTGTATTTCCAAATGCATTACACAAAGGTTCCAGTTTCGCAACCTGTTTGCCAAACTTGATATTTCTGTGTGTGTGTGTGTGTGTGTGTGTGTGTGTGTGTTTGATAATAGCCAAACTAATTGGTGTAAAGTAATAGTTCATTGTGGTTTTGATTTGCATTTCCCTAATGACTGCTGATGCTGAGCATCTTTTCATGTGTCTGTTGGCCATTTGTACATCTTGTTTGGGGAATTGGCTATGCAAGTCCTTTGCCTACTTTTGTATTAGTTGAATGTCTCCTGTTTGAGTTGTAGGAGTTCTTTATGTATTCTGGATATTAATCTCTTATCAGATATATATGATTTGCAAATATTTTCTTTCATTCTGGGGGTTGCTTTTTCACTGTGTTTATTGTGTTTTTAATGAACTTTTTTATTTTGATGAGTCCAATTTATCAATTTTTTCTTTGTTTTTGTATCTTTGGTGTTATATCCAAGAAAGTGCTATCAAATTCTATGGCATGAAGATAATTCCCTATGTTTTATTGTAAGAGTTTTTCAGTTTTAGTTCTTGAGTTTAGGTCTTTGATGTTTTTCTTAGTTAATTTTCATATGTGGTGTAAGTTAGGGATCCAACTTCATTTTTTTTTTTTTTTTGGCATGTGAACATCTGGTTTTCCTAGCACCATTTGTTGAAAAGATGCACTGACTCTTTAAGACCCTTGCCACCAGCCCACCCCAGGGGACACCAACTGGTCCATCCACCTCCCTACTTGGGGCATTGCCATGCCACTCTGAAGCCCACACCATTGCTTCTCCCTGGGATATGGACCTCGTAGAAAACGTCTCTGGCACCACAGCCTACCTGCCCCTCCTGCCTCACAGCCAAGTCTCCCTTGCCCCCACCTTGTCCATGTTGAGCCTTCCTCAAAGGCAGTGGACCTTGCCTCCATCTCACCCTTACCTGTGCACCACAGCCATGGTGGTCATGGGTCCCTCTGAGCCTGGGTCCCTTACAGTTTCTGCTCTCCCCTCTGGCAAGACCTTCCTTCCACCACTGCCTTCATGCTCCTCCCTTGAACCTGCAGGGCAGCCCCTTCCATTGGCCTCCTCCCTATACCCTGAGGGGGCCTGTGGCTGCCCTGCCCTGGCACCTGGCCTACAAGTTTGCCATCCCCATTCCCCCTTCTTCTGTTCCTCAGTCCCCTCCTCTATCCTCCCACCTTCCCAGTTTTCCTTGCGTCTGAAATCCTCATTCTTGTCCCTTTGCCCGTGTGCATTTCCTGCCTCCTCAGGAAGGTCGGGACAGCAGACCTGTGTGTTAAACATTGATGTGAAGTTACTTCCAGGAAGAAGTTTCATCTGTGATTTCCTCTTCCCCAGAGCCCCACAGTCTTTGTTACAACCTCACGGTGCTGTCCCGGGATGGATCTGTGCAGTCAGGGTTTCTCGCTGAGGGACATCTGGATGGTCAGCTCTTCCTGCTCTGTGACAGGCAGAAAGGCAGGGCAGGGCCCCGGGGACAGTGGGCAGAAGCAGTCCTGGGAGCTGAGACCTGGGACACAGAGACTGAAGACTTGACAGAGAATGGGCAGGAGCTCAGGAGGACCCTGGATCATATCAAGGGCCAGAAAGGAGGTGAGAGTGGGCAGTGGGCAAGAGTAATGGGAGAGGCCTTTTCCAGGAGAGTTGGGGGCAGAGAGCAGGACCTGTCTCTTCCCACTGGATTTGGCTGTGAGTAGGGGTGAGGAATGGTGCTCAGCGGGGCTCAGCCCACACAGGGAGGGATGGAAGAGGGCCAGGGAGGGGTCCTTCCTGGTCCGAGTTCCTCACTTGGACTGGAATGGAGAAGTCACTGCTGGGTAGGGGCAGGCAGCCTTGCATTCCCTCCAGGAGATTAGGGTTTGTGAGATCAGGAAGCCAGCAGCACCAGGGGCTTTAGGCATTTCTACACATATGGGAAGCTCTTCCTCTCTCCCAACCTGGAGACTCAGTAATGGACAGTGCCCCGGTCCTCCAGAGCTCAGACTTTGGCTATGAATGTCACAAATTTCTGGGAGGAAAATGCCATGCAGACCAAGACACACTATTGCCCTGTGCAGGCAGACTACATGCAAAAGCTATGGTGTTATCTGAAATTCTGGAGGTATCAGAAAAACAGGTACTGTGAAAGTAGTGGGTCCTCCTATAGAAGCCTGAACCTGGGGTGGGCATTAGGCAGGAAAGGAAGGCCTCAAGGCCAGGGCTGCCTCATCTGCCTCCCAGCCTGCCCATCCTGGAGAGCTACCTCCTAGCCCCACGACCCAGGAGCCCACCCCTGACAACCCTCTCCTCAGCATCAAAGCCGGAGTCCCAGAGTGTGAGGCCACAGTCCTGAGGCCCATCTTCCAGCAAGCCTAGGGGAATTGGACCCCAGGTAAGGACCGATTTGCAGAAGGTCTGGGGTCAGTGTGGGTTTCAGCGAGAGTCAGAACAATAGAGAGGACCAGTCCTGTTCCCTGCATCTCCCTTAGAGGGGAGAAAGGCTTGGCCACATGCCTCACTGGCTCTGCCCTTTTGTCTCCAATGACCCCCACAGTGAATGAGATGCACAGTGGGGCCTTAGAAGGCAATGTCACCATGATGTGCTGGCCTCCATCTTCTATCCCTGGAATATCTCTCTGACCTGGCATCAGGATGAGGCATCTTTGAGCCAGGATGCCCAGCAGTCTAGGGGTGTCCTGCCCAATGGGAATGGGACCTACCAGACCTGCATGGCCACCAGGATTCCCCGAGGAGAGGAGCAGAGGTTCACCTGCTACATGGGACACAGAGGGAATCACAGCACTCACCCTGTGCCCTCTGGTGAGCCAGGGGCAACTCTCAAGGGTTTCGACCTAGGGAGGTCAGGCCAGGGTGGGGATAGCAGGGACGGCTGTGGCTTTGCGTGCTCAGTGTGTCACAAGGCCCTTTTTTTAGAGAAGGCCCTGGTGCTTCAGAGTCAATGGCAGCCATTCTGTATGCTGCTATTGCTACTGTCATTATTATTATTAGCAGTAGTAGTAGTAGTATTCTCTGTGTCCTTTGGTGCAAGAAGAAGACAACATCAGCTGCAGAGTCCAGGTGAGAAAACGGGGCAGTGGCTGGAGATGGAAGGACTCTTCTCTGGGCAGCAGGGTCCCCTCATAGCTCCTGCACAGATAGACATGTAGGTAACAAGGTCCTGGAACAGGGGATGGACATTGGGGTATTTGGGAGGGGAATGGGAGCCACATCTCCATCTACACCCCTAAGTCCTGCCCAAGCCAGGGCTGGGCCACGGCCCTCAAATGTCCAGCGGTGGCCTCCTCCTGCTGCAGGTGAGGAGTGGGCAGCAGGGAGGGCTGTGGCACCTGCTCTGTCCCCATCCTGGTCTCTCTTGTTTCTTGGGCTCACCACGGTGCGTCCAGGTGGGGTGAGTTGAGAATCACGTGCTGATTGCTGAGGGCCTGGATGATCATGGCTTCAGTGGGAGTAAATAGTAAAGGCGGCTGTGATCTGGGGAGGAGCTAGAAACTGGAGAGGAATCCGAGGAGAGGCGGTGCCCCTAGTCTCTTCCTCTCTGCATCCCTCTCTCCTGTTTCTCCAGCCATCAGGAGGACACCAAGAAAAAGACCCACGAAGCCCAGACTGGGAGGCCTGCCTGTGCAGCCCCTTTGAGGTCCCCTTGTAACAGGGGGGGTCCTGAGTGCACACAGCCATCTCTGTCCACTTTGCAGCTCCCCATGGGCCTCCTCCAGGAGCTATCTTGGGGGTATCATGTCCTCTGCATCACTGGAGGTTCCCACCACATGGCCCTGCCTCCCTGAGTTTCTGTGCAGATGTTATGGAGGAGTATATAAGCAGACATCCCTGGGCCATTTGGGAAGCAGGAACCAGCTCCTTGTCAGGGCAGCTGTGGTCCCTGTTTTCATCATATGTCCAAGTGTTACCTTGTCTAGCCCCCAGGAACACAGTCCCCAGGACCATGTTTTTTGGGGCACCCACAGCAGGGGCAGTGCAGGTCTGGTTGCTCCTGCTCTCACCTGCAGCATCTGCCGTAGAGGAATTGTCAGTTCTGGTTCCCTGTGGGCAGTAAAGGTTTCCTTGTAGGTCACTGGGGCATTGGCCAGAAAAAGGTTGTGAAAATCACATGCTAATTTCTCAAAATTCCTGCTTTCAATGTTGATGTCCAATAAAGATGTTCATAATTTCAGCTGGATATTCTTAATAGGATTTCCTCCAATACCGATGCTGTAAAGTATATTGAATGGAACAGGAATTCAAATTTGAAACTCTCTCTCTAGAAGGGTCCATGTGGGAGATGGTGGCTGTGGCTGTGGCAATCCCCAGGTGCAGAGTGGGCGGAGGCAGCCTCAGGCTGAGGGGTCTCAAGAAATCCCTTATTCCATAGGGAGAAGAAGAAGATCCTCTGTGGGTGTGAGGGCAGTGGCCTGGGTGGAATCCCTGCTAGGAACCAGACAGGAAGGCCTTGCAGCCTCACCAAGCAGCAGCCCTGGGGTGGAGCTGGATTTCCAGGGATGAGTGGACCAGGCAGGAGCAGGGCATCCCAAGTGCAGGTCATGGACCTGGGTGTCAAGGGAAGCAGAGCCTTCTTGAGCAAGGGGGTCTCCAGGGTCAGGTCAGGTGCAGACCCCATGGCAGCCACGTGTTTCCATCCTGGGCCTGACAGGCCTGCTGGGCTTCCTGGTGGGCTCTCCAGGTAGGAGCTGCCTGCTCAGGACTGGAAGGGGAGGAACACTGAGCTGTAGGTGGAGGGCGGAACCCACAGTGGGCAGGGCCTGCCCTGGTGTGCAGGTGCTTCTGCAGGAAAGGAGGGCCTGGGGAAAGAGGGAGAGAAAGGCCTTGTGTGTGACCCAGCCCAGGCCTGGAAGTACGTGGAGCCAGGGCCTCTCTCTGGGGAGGCCTCCCACTGTGTCCGAGCTGGCCAGGCTTGAGAGGAGGGGAGGGCACTGAGTTTCTTCTGGAGTCTTGTCATTTAGTCCTGCGGCCCTTTCAGTCCCTACAGAGTGCATAGTGGGCACAGGGCGAGTGCTGATCTTCATGAAGTCATGGGAGGGGACTGGCAGGGGCTGGGAAAAGTGCCATAGGAGGGAGAAAAATGTGGGAGCATCATCTTCCCTCAGAGAAAGGGTAAATCTGATTTTGGAGTGACCGAGGAGGGAGAAATCCTCAGGGAGTAAAAAGCAGCACTCTGCACCCAGGGGAGCATTTATTGGTTTCTCTATTTTCTCCAGAGCACGTGAGCCTGCAAGGCCCGGATCAACGCCCGGTTGGGACAGGAGACCACCAGGGCAGTGCACAGCTGGGATTTCAGTCTCTGGTGTCAACTCCTGGGTCTACTGGCTCCACTGAGGGCAGCTACACTCTGCAGCCAGATGGCCAGAATTCAACTCCCTGCCCAGGTCTCACCAGCACTTTCCCACTTGGTGCCTCAGTTTCCTCATCTATGAAATGGGGAAACTAACAGCATTTATTTCTTGTGGTTGGGTGGATGAAAAGCGTTAGTATATATGAGGGGTTTGCAGCTGTGCCACATTATTTTTGTTATCATTTGATTATATTTTAATATATTACATATGCAGTCATTGTATTATTATTATAAATGAGATTTATGAGTGAGTGTCCTGGTTACAGCTCCTTCTGGGGAGCCCAGGACCAGCTTTCCTGGCACCTTGAGGTCCCCTCACCCTGTCACACTCTCATGCATTACCTCATATCTACTATGTCTTCATAATTTTATACTATAGAAATTTACCCTTTAAGTAGACATTTCTGGTCTGTGTTTTATTTCAAGTGTCTGGGAAGGGATAGAGTATGAGGTTCAAGAGAGAAGGAGAGGTCTGTCTTGATGCCTTGACACAGCACAAAGAAATCTCCCCACCTCCCCCGCATCTCCCCACCAGTTCTCGGTGATGGACGATTCACAGCAACACAGAAAGGGCTGGGAAGGGATGGAGGGGGACATCTGCAGCCAGTGTTTAGGGGCTGACCCTGTGGGAAGACACCTGCCTTGCAGAGGACCTCTGCATCTTGCAGATGCAGAGCTGAAGTCTGATATGAGGGAGAGGACAGGGAGTGCTTTGGACTTTCCTGATTAAGAAGAATAGAGATCAGTCTGCTTCTGGGGTTAAGTGACCACTGGGGAGATTGGACTGAATTAATGAAGAATAAATGAACTGGGAATGAGGATGAGTAAAGCAAGTATCAGCATCTCCCATTATCAGTTCAGACTGATTGGTAAGTGGGGAGGTGGGATAGTTCCTGACCCTGTTGTGAGGTTCCTTTTAACTTTCTGGCCTTGGGGCACAGATGGGTGGTGCTCTTCTTGGTCAGGGTAGCCTCAGCTCCACTCAGGTAAGGCAGTGGTGGCAGGGAGAGTTAGGGGATCACCTGTGAAACGGACCAAGGCAGGGATGGGAGCCCTCTGTGCAGCAAAAGTGGATGCAAGCCCTGCCTAGAAGCAAGAGGATGAAGGAACCTAGTTGGGTCCTGGTCCACTGCCTGCCTGTGTTCACAGGTCAACCAGTAAAGGAGGTGGGGTAGAGAATTCAATCGTGGGCTATCTATCCAGAGATGTGTTTACAGGTGTATTATTTCACATTTGTGTTCACGTTTGGTGTCAAAAACACATTTATACATGCCTGTTTCATGTTTAAGTATTTTCACATTTTAGTTAACCCTTAAATATCATTGTTGAATGCGGTTGTCATTAGACATAAACTTGCATATTCACTGAAGCTTTTGTTTTTATTTTAATCAAATTTATAATTGTGCATAATTGAAAGAGTCAAATATTTGTGCAGAATCTCTTGAGAAAAATGAGAGTCCTCTCTGCCTCTTCTCAATTTCTGCCTTTCTAGGGGCCAACCACTTTCAAGTTTTTTAGCTGATTCTTTTGACTTTACTTCTGTATCTCTAACTACCATTTCTTTATTATTATTGCTTGATTTTTTTCAGATGCACCCATTGTTGCACAGCGCAATGGTGGATGCAACAGTTAAGAGTACTTGTTCTCTTTCACTCTTCCCAGTATATTTATATAGTGATTATGTTTAGTTCAGCCATCTCTTGTTTCTTTTACCATGACTAATCCTCTCATATGTCAACTGGACTACTTTTCACTGCCTGTACAACATTGGTTCTTCTTGGAGTTAATACTTGTATTTGTTTTTGTTTATTTTATTAACTCTCATTAATTTAAGTTTGATATCTCTTTTGTTTGTATGATTCTTTCAAGACGTTGGACACTTTGGACATTCTGTTAATTTTATCTTCTTGGAAATGTCCCTCCTGGGCCCTTCTGGCTGCTCCCATCTGGATTGGAGGCTTCTCCCCGTGGAGCAGAGTCACTGTCCTAGGATCTCCCTCCATCACTATCTGGGAAGGTGCTTTACATGCAGTGGAGCCACCTGGGTTCCAGCCAAAATGCAGACTGATTCAACATGTCAAGGCTGGGCCTGTGAGCCTTTCTGTCTAGTTTCAGGAGGTGCTGATTTTCCTGGTTCATGGGTGATAGCTGGGGTAGCAGGGATCTCTCTTTTTGTCTCATAGTTTTCTGTATCTAAGGTAAGCGCATACTAATATATTTTTAATGAATTCATGTACTTTTTCCCTAAATTAGTAACAGGGCTAATTAGTCTTTTCCTTGGGCCAAAAACTACATTATGTAAAATTTGGTATCTTAACTATTTTAAAGTATACAGTAGTACAGTATTAACTGTAAATACATAGTTGTGCAACAGATCTCTAGAACTTTTCATCTTGCAACACTGAAACTCTATGCCCATTGAACAAACATTCATCCATCCCCCTCACCGAGCCCCTAGCAGCCATTAGTCTACTTTCAGTTTAGACACCTCATATAAATGGAAATGTGCAGTATTGGGTTTTCTTTGTGATTGGCTTATTTTACTTAGCAGTGTCCTTCAGGTTCATCCCTGTTGCAGCCTGTGACCAGGTTTCCTTCTTAAGGCTGAATGATATTCCGTTGTCGATATATACCACATTTTCTTCATTCATGTGTTGGTGTGTGTTGTCTTGGCTATCGTGAATAATGCTGCTTTGAATATGGGTATACAATGTTTTTCTTTTCAAACCTTCCCTCACTTTGGTGGAATTAATCCTTTAGTAGCTACTTCTGACAGCACATATTTAAAGTATGTTTGTATGGTTCAATTTTTCCATTGTTTTTATTCTCTCCAGGAAGAGGAGATAAATATATGAAGGTGCTGTTTGGCACAGAATTTAATAGGGAAGAAAGAGACAGTATAACTCACCAGTGCTGGGTCTCATCATCCTGCAATTTCAGAACAACTATGAATACAAAAAGAATTTTAAAATCCCAGTCCTGCCTAGAAAGGGGAAGTCATCTCTAAATATGGTGGCCCTGGGGCAGCTGGCCTCCCTGCCAGGCCTCTTCCATGGGGGCCCTTTCTGCAGTGACTGTGGTTTCTTCCCATTTTACTCTGTCCTGTGTCCTGACTGAAGCGACAAGGTGTGTCTGCAGCTGTGCTCACACCTGGAGGAAACCTCAATGGTGTGAGTAAATTGTAAATGTTTACTTATTATGGGTTATTTTATTATTTATGGAGTATGTATTTTGATTTCATTCTACTGACAACACAATAAACCAGGACATGATGACCCTAGCAGCACATCCTCTTTCCTGTGTCAAGAAGCATCGTCCGGGGAGGTGAGAAGAAGACAGTCCTCCCTAGAATTGAAGAACCAGGGAGAAGCAGATGGGCTGGGCAGGTGGGTTTTCACCTGGAACCTGGAGGATGAGCAATGACATCTCTCCACCCTGAGCTCAGCCTGGGCATCCACCTCCTGGGCTCATGAGCAGTGCAGTGGTGCCTCCTAGTGGTCTCTGCTCTTCCTTTTCCAGATCAAGCACAAACCTGAGATCCAACTGTCCCTCTTATGCGCCTGGGTTTCTTCACTGGACACCAGTATGAGTCAACTTTCCTGTAAAGCAGAACAAGCACGAGATTGGACCATGTTAGAGGAGGAATGGTGTCATCTCCACTTCTGGAGAGATCCCTGTCCCCGTGTTCGGGGGAAGGACCAAGCCTCACTCCCATGCAGAGAAGAGGCTCTGACTGTAACTGCACCTGTGGAGAGGTGAGGACCTGTCCCCTCTACACCGATGGCCAGAGCCTCCAGAGTGGGGCCAGGTTTTTCCCTCAGCTGTGTCCTGTCAGGTTCATCTAGGCCTCAAAGAATAGACCCTGGACATTGCCTCTGGCAATGTGAGCTGGACACACACCCAGATGTAAGGTAGCCCTGCCAAGTATCCTGGGGTTGCCAGTAGTTCTGGGTGCTCAGTGTCTGGAGCGGAGGGTGGGAAGGAGGCTTGGTGCAGAACAAGAACCATATGTCACATACTATTTTATTCTTTATTAGTGTTTTTGTCATAAAAAACCCCACGGGTACCATAAAAGATAAAAGATCTAAAAATAGTGCCCTTTAATCAAAAGTAAACACCCTTTAACCATCAGAGAGAGGGAGAAGTTTGGCAGCTGACCTAGAAGCCCCATCAACTGCCCCAGCTCAATGATAAACTCTTCTCTTCTTCAAATAAAAGCACATCCTGGCTTACATGGCCATCACTTCTTTGTACAATTTTATATTTTTATCATCTAAAATTATAGTTTAGTTTTACCTTTAAGAGTATATTTTTATCCTCATTTATTCCATAGATTCCTGCTTGAAATTTATATTGTCTGGTAGTTTCCTGTCCTTTGCATTTTGCAGATTGCACCCCAAGGTGTGGTTTAATGTATCTCTATGACCTGTATTTTCTGTAAATTGGTAGTTTGTTATAGAGGTTTGCGTCTATTCAGGGTTTTTTTTTTTTTTTTTTTTGCCATGAGGATTGATGGTACTATATCATGTTTTTCATCAAGAGGAAGAATTCAATACTAGTTATTTCTTTTTTGCGATGTTAATTGCCATTGCTGTTCAGTGGCTAAATCTGTTAATTCATTACAAATTGCAAAAGTCTCAGTCTTTCATTTCTTTTCATATGCTAGCTGCATAATTTCTAAAATAAAAGATTTACCCTCTTCCACCAGTTATCTATTCAGTAGAAACTTGTTTTTTGAGAGACTAAACCAAGTTTCTAATCACCTATGACCCAGCAATTCCACTTTTTGTTATATACCAATAGAAATGCATGCATTTGTGTGCCAAAATATATGAAAATATTATTTATAGCAGCACGATTTGTAGACTCTGAATACAACACAAATGTCTATCAACAGTGGAGAGACAAGAAGTGTGAGCTATTTATAAAGCTGAGCACCTGACTGCCGCGGGAGTGAATAGTGACCACACACAGCAAGACCTGGGACATGGCAGTGACTGTGTCCAGAACTGACAGAACTAATCTATCATATTAGAAATCAAGAAAGTGTCTGCTCTAGGGTTGGGGAGGGTGATTTATGACCAAGTAGAACCCAGTGGTGTTTCCTGGAGGCTGGCAATGCTATTCCTTGATGTGGCTGCTATTTACCTGAGTGTTCACTTTGTGAAAATCCACGGCCCACTTATGGTTTGTCCACCTTTCTCCATGCATGTTGTCCTTCATTCAAGTATACATTACTGATGTTTTGAAACAATTCTCTCTAAGCTAATATAGAATCTCCATTACTGAAAGTCCTTAGAAATGCTGCATTGGAAAAAATTAGTCCAATTATTAAAAATCTATGAAATAAATGCTGTGACTCAGACATTAAGAGGAGAATCTACAACAAGAGCAGTAGGCTTGGGAGCTAACACAAGAACAGCTTTGGAAATGGCTGTTGAGCCAGGAACTAGGAATCAAAACCCAAAAAGGCCCATGCAAGGTGGAGGGTGTGAAATGATGCCCCAGTAGTGCATGAATGAATGAGTCATGGGCAGTGGCTCATGGGTTGCTTGGTCAGTCAGGAACTTGAGCAAAATAAAGTTGGAAAACTGGGGGATGGAAGAGAGAGGTATGCACAGACCTCTTGACATGGGCAGAGCTTCAGAAGATGGTGGTTGCAGGTTTCCCCAAATAGAGAACATCAATAAAAAGGTAGAAATTTTACAAAGAGACCAGATAAAAAGTTTGGAGCTGAAAAGTGCAATAACTGAAATGAAAAATTCACTAGAGGGGCTCCAGAGCAAATTTCACCATGCAGAATGGAGAATCAGCAAGCTTGAAGATAAGACAATTGAAATTCTCTAGTTCAGTAGCAGAAAGAAAAAAAATTATGAAGAAAAATAAACAGAACTTTAAAGATCTGTGAGACAACATCAAGCACATGCACTTTGGGAGTCCTCAAAGAAAGGAGAGAGAGAAAGGAGAAGAATGACTATTTAAAGAATAACTCCAAACCTTCCAAATTTGATGAAAAACATTATTCATCCAACAAACTTGACAAATTTTAAGCAGCAAAAAAATTTAAATTTAAAGAGGTCCACACCAAGAGAACATTATAATCAACCTGTCAAAAGCCAATGACAAACAGAGCATATTGAAATGAATAACAGAGAAGGAACTTTTCAGGTTCAATGGATCCTCAATAAGATTGCAGCCCAGTTTTCTTCAGAAACCATAGAGTTCAGAAGGCACTGGAATGTTGACAAATTTAGAGGTCAGAAAAAAAAAGACTGTCATGCAGGAATTGTGTGTCTGGAAAAACTCTCCTTCAGAAATAATGGATTTTATATATATATAAATATATATATATATATATATATACACACATATATATACATATATATGACTATACATAGTACCACATATATATAACTATATATAGTACTACTATGAAATTATATATATAGTACTATATATAGTAGTCATACTATAAAAGCTAGTAGTAATATGTATATTTTTGGTGTTTATATGTGTGTGTGTGTGTGTGTGCATATATATATAGTACTATATATAGTAGTCCTATAAAAGCTAGTAGTAACATGTATATTTTTGGTGTTTAATTCTTCCTTTGTTTTTCCTATTTGGTTTAAAAGAAAATGCCCATTGACTAATGAATGAATAAACAACATGTAGTGTATTTCTACAATGGAATATGATTTAGCCATAAAAGGAATGAAATACTGATACATGCTACAACATTGCTGAATCTCAAAAACATGATAAGTGAAGGAAATCAGCCACAAAAGGATACATATTTCATGAACCCATCTTTGTGAAATCTTCAGAAGAGACCAATCTATAGAGAAAGAAAGCAGACTTGTGGTGACAGGGTCTGGTGGCAGGAGGAAATGGAGGGTGACTGCTTAATGGTGCAGAGTTTCCCCTGAGGTGATGAAATACTCTGGAACTAGAGAGTGATGATGGCTACATAACATTGTGAACCTACTAATTGTCACTGCATTGTACACCTATTGTACAATGGGTACAGTGGTAAATTTTGTGTTCATGTATATTGTATCACAGTAAAAAAGAGGCTGAAGAATAGATTCCAAAATCTTTTATATGGTAAACTCCTGAGTTTGCTTGAGCATCTGCCCATCTGTCTTTCCCCCTCAGGATGTCATCTCCTACTCAGAGCTCACCCTTGTTCTTCTGTAAGTAGAAAGCCTTTCTTCACAACACTCCCAGATCAGCCAGACCCAACCCCCAAAATGACTTTCTGTCTTGGATCCAAATGCTCACGTGCAACTCTGGGGCAATTTCAGTGGGAGTGAAGAGATTATCCAACTAGGATGATTCATTTGGAGGGAAATGTTTGACCTTATGTTAGGAAAGTCATTTGCTTTCCTAAAAAGGATCCTGCTTACCAGTGAGTATATAATTTTTGTATGCCCGGGGTGGAGTTCACAGCAGAGGAACTAACAATAGCTCTAGGAACACCATACACCTCATGCGTAGCTGACTCACCCATCTGCCTCCCCCAGCTGAAGGAAGGAGCTGGATTATTACCTTGGCCCATCCATCAACTGCATTTCACTGGATGTGCACCCTCTACAAGTGTGAACCTTCCAGGGTTCTCAGTTGCTCTTCCTGCTGTTGTGTGGCCTCCACTGGTGTGGCTCATGCCCAGGGGGCCTGCAGGAGACTGAGTGTCTCCTAATTCTCAAGGCCAACATTTTCAGTGAGCTCAAATGAAGATTTTATGTTCTCAGGGACTCATATTTTCATCTGTGGAAGGGAAAAATCCATCTCGCTGTCTTAGGTGTGATGGTAATTTTACATAAATATATATATATAATTATAGTATTTTTATGTCTATAAATGAGATAATCAGTATTTTATAAATTGATGGTATTCTTAGCATTGACTTCATTGCTCAGCTAAATGCTGTAACCAAAGGATGAGTCATGGAGTGGAGGAAGAATATTTTTCTACTCTCTGGAGGTGCCATAATCGGCATTTCTGCCCTATGGATTTCAAATGAGAAATTTGCTTTAGGCTGAGGTTGGAAGGAGATCTGAACTTCTTTGTATTACTATTATTTTAGATGGGGTCTTGCTATGTTGTCCAAGCTGGAGAGAAGTGACTATTCACAGGTGTGATAATAGCACACGACAGCCTCAAAATCCTGGGCTCAAGTGGTTCTCCCATCTCAGCCTCCTGAGTAGCTGGGACTACAGGTGTGCACTCAGCCACTTTTCATTGTTATTTTACTTCAAATGCTTTATTTTGAATATTAGAAATGTGAAAATCTATTTGATCACAGAAGACTTTAAAATACACAGATCAATGCCTACTTGAATTAAAAAAAAAATAAAATACACAGAAGAAATACCACCTAGGTCTCCCCTCAAAAATATCACTGCTATTGTATTGTTGAACCTTCCTGGACTCAGTGTGACTGTTGGTCCCTGGAGCTGTCCTTTGCGTGGTGCTGATTTCCATTTTGTTGGTGGTGGTTTGTTTTTGTTTTTGTTTTTGTTTTTGTTTCTGAAACACAATTTCACTTTGTCACTGAGGCTGGAGTGCAGTGGTGCGACCTCAGCTCACTGCAACCTCCGCCTCTCGGGTTCAAGTGATTTCCATGCCTCAGCCTCCTGAGTAGCTGAGATTACACACATGCGCCACCAGGCCCAGCAAATTTTTTGTATTTTTAGTAGAGACAGGGTTTTGCCATATTGGCCAGTCTGGTCTCGAACTCCCGACCTCAAGTGATCCACCTGCCTCAGCTTCTCAAAGTGCTGGGATTACAGGAATGAGCCAAGGCGCCTGGCCCATTTTGTTGTTCTCTATGTATATATTTTTATAGGTATCTTTATTGTACAAGGTTGCATTCATATGTTATGGGTTATCTTGAATGTTGCTTTTTGAATGTATTATTATACAAGTAGTTTTCCATGTTGTAAACTCTGTATAAAGTTTACATGCTTTTTTGGCCGGCATGGTGGCTCACGCCTGTAATCCCAGCACTTTGGGAGGCCGAGGTGGGTGGATCACTTGAGGTCAGGAATTCGAGACCAGACTGGCCAACATGGTGAAACCCCATCTGTACTAAAAAATACAAAAAATTAGCCAGGAGTCTAGGCATGTGCCTGTAGTCCCAGCTACTCAGGATGCTGAGCCAGGAGAATTGCTTGAACCCAGGAGGCAGATGTTGCAGTGAGCCGAGATCACTGCCACTGTACTCCAGCCTGGGTGACAGAATGAGACTCCATCTAAAAAAATTTTTAAATTTAAAAAGTTGACACACTTTTACAAGCTGCATCCCATCTCAGATAAGGAGGTGATGTAACTGAGTTCTTTTAGATCCATCTGCTTTCATCTTATCTTTTTGTAGGTAATATTTTGACAAGCATGTTTGTACATAAAGATTCTCCTATGGTTGGGATTTTAAAAATTCATAGACTACTCAGGCCAGGTGCGGTGCCTCAAGCCTGTAATCTCAACACATTGGAAGGCCAAGGAGGGTGGATTGTCTGAGCCCAGAAGTTCAAGACCAGCCTGGGCAACATGGCAAAATCCTGTCTCTACAAAAAATACAAAAAAAAAATTAGCTGGGCATGGTGGCATGAGCCTGTAGTCCTAGGTACCCCAGTGTTTGAGGTGGGAAGATTGTTCGAGCCTGGAAGGTTGAGGCTGAAGTGAGCTGTGATCATGCCACTGCCCTCCAGACCAGGCTACAGAGTGAGAATTTGTCTCCAAAAATAAATAAATTCATAGACTACTCAAGTGATAAATATTAAACAAGAGACTGCTTTAAACATTTTAAAGCCTTATTATACTGTCATACTGTGATTGTACTGACATATTTATTCATTTAACAAATACTTACTGAGAGCTATTTACTGATTATGATGGTGAGAAACAATGGTAAGGAAACAGACCAGATCCCTTTATCAAAGAACATACATTTCAGTGATACTGACTGTAATGGTTAATTTTAGGTGTCATATTGACTGGATTAAGGGATGCCTAGATAGCTGGTATAACATTATTTCTGGGTGTGCCTGTGAGGGTGTTTCTGGAAGGGATTGGCATGTGAGTGACTGAGCGGGGAAAATCCTCTCTCGCTGTGGGCAGCCACAATCCAATCACCTAGGGGCCCAGATAGAACAAAAAAGCAGAAAGGAGTCAAATTTTCTCTCTCTCTCTCTCTCTCAATCTGGGACACTTTTCCTGCCCTTGGACATCAGAACTCCAGGTTGTATGGTCTTTGGACTCTTGAGTGTTGCACCAGTCAACCCTTTATCCTCCCACCTCCTCCTCTGGCCCCTCAGGCCTTTGGCCTTGGACTGAGCCAGGCTGCTGTCTTCCTTGGTTCTCCAGCTTGCAGGTGGCCTCTCATGGATCTTATCAGCCTCCATAACTATGTGAGCCATTTCCACTAATAAATCCCCTCTTGTCTCTCTATCTATCTATCTATCTATCTATCTATCTATCTATCTATCCATCTACTCTATTGGGTCTTTCTGTCTTGGTAACCCTGATACACCAACAGACAATAAACAAATAGAATCTGTCACAGTATCAGTGATAATTGCCACTGATAAAAAATACACCTAGGCTAGAAGATTGGTGGGAGTGGCGGGAATGGCAGGGAATAGATTTCAGAAAAGGTAACTGGGCATGACATTTCTGAGAACTTGACCATGGGACATTTGAACAGAGACTCGAATGGTGTGAGGAGTGAGCCATGTGGACCCCCGGGGAGCAGGTGCATGTGGGAGTCACAGCAGGGGCAGGTAGCAGAGACAGGATGGAGCAGTGACAAAAGGCTGGTGTGAGTGGAGATGAGTGAGCTGGGCTGAGAATGGCGGGATGAGGCCACAGGGGTCCTATGATGAGGGGCTTGTAGGAAACGGTGAGAGACTGAGGTTTCATTGTGCCTAGGAAAGAAAAGGGCTGAGGTGTTCATAGGATATGTCCTAATTTTCGTTTGAGAGGCTCACTCTGCCTTTGTGTGAGTAATGGACAGTGGGCATGAGAGGCAGCAGGCAGCCCAGCTGGAAAGCCCTTCTGGTTTACAATTCTTGAGAGGGTGGCTCTCGGGTGGTGGCAGGAGAGGAGTGAAAAGTGATTGGATTTAGTGTTGATATACTTGTTAATATTGTGGTAAAACATACATACCATGTAATTTACCTTCTAACCACTTTTTCAGTGTACAATTCGGTGGCCTAAAGCACATTTACAATGTTGTGTAACCACCACCAATATGCATTTCCAGAACATTTTCATCATCCCAACAGAAACTGGACCCATTAAACCAAAGCTGCCCATTCTCCCTACCCTCAATTTCTGGTAAATTCTATTTTACTCTCTGTTTCTATGAATTTGCCTATTTTAGCTGCATCACATAAGTGAAATATTATATTTGTCTTTTTGTTTCTGGCTCATTTCACTTACAGTGTTCTCAAGGTTCATGCAACCTGAATTTCATTCACTTTTAAGGCTGAATAATATTCCATGCTATGTGCACCATGGGTCGTTTATCTAATCATCCTCCGATGGACACTCGGTTGCTTCCACCTTTTGGCCATTGGGAATAGTGCTGCTACGAGCATGAGTGTACAATTATCTGTGTGAGTTCCTGCTTTCAATTCTTTTGGGTATATGCCCAAAAGTGGAATTGTTGGCTCCTATGGAAATTGTGTTTTTACTTTCTTGAGGAAGCATCATACTGTTTTTCATGGTCGCTGTACCACTGTACACTCTCACCAGCAGTGTACAAGTGTTGTGACTTCTCCACATCTTCGCCAACATTTGGACTAGTGAAGTTCAGCATATTTTCATGTGCCTATTGCCCATTTGTATATCTTCTTTGGAGAATTGTCTATTCATGTTGTTCACTCATTTTTGAATGAGATTGTTTGTTTTTCTGTTGTTAAGTCATAGTTCTTTATGTATTCTGGATATTAATTCTTTATCAGGTATATAACTGGCAAATATTTCCTCCCATTCTGTGCATTTTCTTTTAACTCTCTTAATAGTGTCCCTTGATATATAAAAAAGGTTTTTAAATTTTGATAGTCTAATTTATTGTTTTTCTTTTATTGGTTGTGCTTTTGCTCACCAGCCAAGAAGCCATTGCCACATCCAATGTTCCTAAGATTTTCTTCAATGTTTTCTTCTAAAAGATTTATAGGTTGAACTCCTAAGTTGAGTTCCTTGAACCATTCTGAGTTAATTGAGTTAATTTTTGAATATGGTGTAAGGTGATGCTATGAATTTTGTCCAACATCATTATTTTGTATGTGGGTATTAAGGTTTCCTGGTACTATCAGCTGAAGTGGGGCTGATACACTTGTAAGATGCAGTGAGCACTGATAAATGGGAACACCATGCATTTATTTACTTGTCTTTACTCCACAGGTGATTGGAGGAGGCTTTTGGTGACAAACCCAAAAGAAATGAATACATATGAATTCTTATTAAATCAAAATCAAATAAAATTATAAATTTTAAAATGTTAAGAGTGAGGCAAGACTAGAACATCACTAGACAGGCTGAAACATGCTGAAATGGAGGGTTTACTGCTTTCCTTGCTTTAAATTTTGCTGGCTCACAATGGCTTATGTTTATTGCATAAGGGGGCCACAGGGAGGGTTGCTTGCTCACATAAGGAGCCCCTGGTTTTCTTCAGAAACAAGTTCAAATTCTCCACTTAGAGCCAAAAAAAATTAATTGCAAGATGTTCAAACTGAAGTTGGCTTCTATAAAGTCAAAGAATAAGCAGTAAGTGTAAAATAAACCTCAGGAATCCAAGGAAATTCTACCTTTTTACCTAGAAATGGCCTCACAATGCGTCGCTGAAGGGAGAGGGTCCCTTCCAGGAACCCCATGATGTAGGGGTTTCTGCTGCAGTCCCAAATTGAGTTGTCCCTTCTCTCTAACTGCAGGTCCCACAAGACCTTACTGCAGCTTCAATAATTTCACCTGGTCTAAGATTTGAGGGGTTTAATGCTTTTTATTTTGAGCTGCTGTCTGGGACTTAGAAAGGTGACTTGCATTTTTTGTCAAAATATTATTTCTTTGATGGAATTTGACATTGGTGGACACTCTGCCTTCCTGTGTGGTTCCTACAAGGGCAGATGACCTTGCACTTCTTTTTGGCACTTCACTAGCAGTGATAGAAGGTTTGAAGTTAGGGCCTCCCTCAATCTTTACCCTCTCTCTAATGCAGAGGATTGCGGCCTGTTGGCAGAAGAGTAGTGTCTTGGGCCCCAGCTGACCTGATGAATATCAATATCCAATGCCCTGTAATGAAGTCATGTGTGCACATATCATCACTTCTGCATGCAGTCTCATGGGAAGGTGGGTTCCTGGACCCCAGGTTACAGGCCTAAGCACTACAGGCATACAGATGGAGCTCCAGGGAAGGGAGAGATGACTGGGGTGGGACCACACTTTTCCTTCAGGGTGTCCCTCAGTTCAAGGAAGCTTGTACTCAAGGGAGAGAAAGTCCTGGCAGGCCTCCTTACCCTTGGCAATCTTGGTATTGGGGCTGGATAATTATCTGTTATGTGGGTGATTGGGCTGACTTGTGCACTGCAGGATGTTCAGCATCCCTGGTCATTCCCCACAAGATGCTGGTAGCACCTTCTCCTCACTCCAGTCATGGCAACAAAACATTTTTCCAGACATAGCTAATGTCCTCTGGTGGGAAAATTGCTCCTGGATGAGAATACTTGTTTGAGAGGTAGAGACACTCAGGAGCTGGGCCTGTAGAGGGAAAGTGATCCAGAAGTAGATACAAAGCAGAGTGGGGCTGGAGAAGACAGGAAGGGAGTCTAGGTCTGGAGGGGCCTGGCCTGATGGTTGAAGGTCTGGAGCTCAGAACCTCAGGGTATGGGGAACTAAAGCTCGTGAGGAATGGGGAGAGTGGCAGAACCTCCTATTGCCAGAATATCACACTCATACCCACTAAACACCCAGCCCATGGTTCTGCATCTCTGGGAAGTCAGGATAAATTTGGCTGTATGGGGTCAGTAAGAGTCCTGGTAACCCTAGGCTTTGTGTGCCTCCTGATGTGATGAATGTGCGGTCACAGCTCCTCCTGTAAACATTGCTGCCAAATGTTTAACCCAGAGCTACATAGGTCCTTAGGAGGCATAGCAGTTAGAGGAAAAAAGTTAAAGGCATCAGGGGAACTAATATGATAAATTCAGTGTGGAGAAGATTCCACAGGTATTTGGCCTCATCTCTGAAACAGGTAATGCCATTCTAAAAGAAAAAAGATGGGTTGATTGTTATAGATTGTAGGTAATTAAAGAAACATAACCAAAGGCAACGAGTGGACATTTTAAGAAAACAAGCTATAAAAAATAGGTACAAAAATGTACTGAAAGAAGTGGAGATATTTGAACATAAAAGGACTTTAAATAATATTATGGAATTATTTATTTTCTTTGGTGTGATAATGTTGGTTCTTATTCTTAGGAGGTGTGTGATGAAGTATTTAGTGGTCTAGTATCATGGGTCTTGCAACTTACTTTAGAATGACTCAGTCAAAAATCTTAATCTGGACCCTTTTCATAAGATGGTGCCAAGAACGAAGAAGGAAGCTCCTGCCCCTCCTAAAGCCGAAGCCAAAGCGAAGGCTTTGCAAGGCCAAGAAGGCAGTGTTGAAAGATGTCCACAGCCACAAAAAAAACAAGATCCACATGTCACCCACCTTCCGGCGGCCCAAGACACTGTGACTCCGGAGGCAGCCCAAATATCCTTGGAAGAGCACCCCCAGGAGAAATAAGCTTGACCACCATGTTATCATCAAGTTTCCGCTGACCACTGAGTAGGCTGTGAAGAAGATAGAAAACAACAGCCTACTTGTGTTCACTGTGGATGTTAAAGCCAACAAGCACCAGATCAAACAGGCTGTGAAGAAGTTTGTGACATTGATGTGGCCAAAGTCAACACTCTGATTCAGTCTGATGGAGAGAGGAAGGCATATGTTCGACTGGCTCCTGACTACGATGCTTTGGTTGTTGCCACCAAAATTGGGATCACCTAAACTGAGTCAAGCTGGCTAATTCCAAATATATGTATATCTTTTCACCATTAAAAGAATCTTAATCTCTCTATTCACTCTTTCTCTTCACACACACACACACACACACACACATTTACGTGCATGCTATAAAAACATATCTACCTGTATCTATAAAAAGATATATTTTTATTCTTTATTTTTAAAATTTATGTATGTTCGTGAGGCACAAGTGCAATTCTGCTACATTGATATCTTGCTTCTCAGTCCCACACAAGGAAGCTGTCTCACACTATAGAGAAAATATTCATGAACAAATTCGTATCAGTCACAGTGAGAGGTAACACTCTAAATAGCCCATTTCATGCTCAAGACATCCAAGTCAAAGAAACCCAATAGCACAGCTGAGTCCCCTCTGTTCCCCCCCAACACCCCACTCACATCAGGGCCCCTGCCCTGGAGTGTCACCTTTATTAGCTGTGAGAGACACCCCAGAGCCCTGGGCACTGTCAGTGATTGGGGTAGAACAAAAATAGGACCTGGTCAGAGCCCACAGATGTGGCTAGAGGAACTGTGGGGTGGGTGAGCTCCCTCATAGGCTCCTGACCACAATATCCCAACAATCTCAGGGATCAGCCTCCTTCATCTTACCTGCAGCCTGAGAGTAGCTCCCTCTGTTTCTATCTATGGGAAGAAAATGTCCTGTGAGAGGCCAGAAAGGAGGCAGGGCCATAAGGTCCTAGAGCAAACCCCTAGTCTTTGATCCCAGAGAAGTTTCCAGAAAAGTGTAACTGTAGATCCAGGGCAGGATCAAGAAATATGAAGAAAGCAGATGTGGGTCCTGGACCAACTGCCCTCCTGAGGTCTGTCATCAGCAGGGACCTTCCCCTGTGATTTGTGACTGCTGGGATCAGGTCCCATCACCACCATAATCATCGAAGTGAAGAATCTGTCCTTCATTTTCACAGGAGCTTTACAAATGAGTAGGTGCTGGCACACAGGGCCCAGGCTGGGTAGACCCATGAGTGTGGATGGTGCTTCCCAGTAATGAGGCAGGGCACACTTCTACTTGGGGCTTGCAACCCCCAGTGGGACAAGAAAACTCAGACTCCACTCCTCACCCCTTCCTACCTGAGCTCTTCTTCCTCCACATCACAGCAGCGACCACAGCTCCAGTGACCACAGCTCCAAGGACAACAAGGCCAGCAACGATGCCCACGATGGGGATGGTGGGCTGGGGAGACTGCTCTGGGAAAGGAAGGGAAGGTGAGGGGCCCTGATCTCCAGGCCTCAGCCCTGACCCTGCTGAAGAGCTCCAGAAGGGCTCCTGCTTTCCCTGAGAAAAGACATGACCCCTCGTTCCCCTCTTTACCCATCTCCCTCCTTACCCCATCTCAGGATGAGGGGCTGGGGCAGCCCCTCGTGCTGCACATGGCATGTGTATCTCTGTTCCTCTCCAGAAGGCACCACCACAGCGGCCCACTTCTGGAAGGTTCCATCCCCTGCAGGCCTGGTCTCCACAAGCTCTGTGTCCTGGGTCTGTTCCTCCCCATCCCGCTGCCAGGTCAGCGTGATCTCCGCAGGGTAGAAGCCCAGGGCCCAGCACCTCAGGGTGGCCTCATGGTCAGAGATGGGGTGGTGGGCAACGTGTGCCTTTGGAGGATCTGAGAAGAGTCAGAAAATTCAGGCACTTTGCACTCCTCATGGGAAACCCCAGCAGCACCCATGTGACCAACCTGAGAATGGACAGGACACCTGGGGTGGGGAAGGGAGCACAGAACCCAGACACCAGCCTGGACACAGACACCTGGGAAAATCTCCTATTCCTTGGAAAGTTCGAGTCTCTGAGTGGGGAGCAGGGACTTCTGGCCCTGACCTAAGTGGAGGCCGAGGGACTGGAATCAGAGCCCCAAACACATTGAGTGTGAGGCAGAGAACAAAACTTGAGAGAAAAGTCACGGGGCCCAAGGCTGTTGGAGGGCTCAAAGGGGACCGCGGATCGGTATTCCAGGGACTGTCTTCCCTCCATTCCCTCAGAGATTTCATCCCTTAATTGTCCCAGAGAGCAGGGCGGACTCTCACAGTCACTCTCTGGTACCGGATCTCGAAAGCCAGGAAGATTCTTCCTACTCAGGACTAGAGGGAGGGCGATATCCTAGCATTGGGCCCACTTTCCTCCCAACCTTGTGCGAGGCCATCCCAAGAGATCTACAGGAGATAGGGAAGGCGCCCATGGCCCCTGGTACCTGCGCGCTGTAGCGTCTCCTTCCCATTCTCCAAGTATCTGCGGAGCAACTCCAGGCACTCGCCCTCCAGGTAGGTCCTGAACTCCTCTGCATATTCCTCTGCCTCATAGAAGCGCTGGGTGATCTGAGCCACGGTGTCCGCCGCGGTCCAGGAGCGCAGGTCCTCGTTCAGGGAGATGTAATCCTTGCCGTCGTACGCGTGCTGGTGATACCCGCGGAGGAGGCGTCCGTCGGGCCCCATGTCGCAGCCATTCATTCCCTGGAGGGTGTGAGACCCTAGCCGGTCCCCGCAGTCAGCCCCGCCCAGCTAGCCCCGCCCCCTCCCCGCCCAACCCGCGGGGATTTTGGCCTAAACTGAAAATGAACCTCGGTAAAGGCGCCTGGGACTCTCCCGGGTGGAGGGTCTGGGCGGGTCCCGCTGCCTCGGGGTAGATTTCGGATCCGGAGACTCTGGGGGACCCGGGCGGTCCGTGGCGGATGGGGGGTGGTCGTGACCTGCGCCCCCGGCCGGGTTCACTCACCAGCCTCGCTCTGGTTGTAGCGGCGGAGCAGGTTCCTCAGGGCCACTCGGTCAGTCTGTGCGTTGGCCTTGGCGTACCCTGTGGTCCACTCCCAATACTGCGGCCCCTCTTGCTCCACCCACGGCTCCCGCGGCTCCATCCTCGGAATCGCGGCGTCGCTGTCGAACCGCAGGAATTGCGTGTCGTCTACGTACTCCACGGCGATGTAGCGGGGCTCCCCGCGGCCGGGCCGCGACACAGCGGTGCTGAAATACCTCAAGGAGTGGGAGCCTGGGGGCGAGGAGGGGCTGAGACCCGCCAGACCCTCCTCCGGGCGCGGCTCCCTGAGTCCTGCGCCCCCACCGGGCGGGCCCCTCACTCCTCCCCACAGAGGCCGTTTCTCTCTGGACCCCGCACTCACCCGCCCAAGTATCGGTCAGGGCCAGGGCCCCTGAGAGCAGCAGGAGGAGGCTTCGGGGCGCCATGACCCCAACCTCCGCGTCTGGGAAAAATATGAGTCCCGCGGGGTGCGTGGGACTTTAGAACCTGGGAACTGCGGCGACACTGATTGGCTTCTCTAGAAACGCGACGCCCAATGGGAGTGAGAAATGGGGCCGCGTTATGAGTATCCAGGATGAAGGACCTGACACGGGTTGGGAGAGAAAGAGAAACTCTGGGGAGATGGGGAATTCTCAATACTGAGCCTTCCAACCCCAGACACCGCCTCGGGGCCTGAGCCCTTGAGAGCCACTCCTGGGGCCCTGGGACTTTGCCCTCCCCCTCCCCCTCCCCCTCCTGTGCAGGGTGTGTCTCAATGTCTCCCTGAGTCTTCGCCCGGGGGCTGAGAAACCAGGGAGAAACCTTCGGCATGGACCCAGTCCATCTCCCTTCATTATTCATTCCGAAATCCCAGTCCCTTGATTGAACTTTCTGCCTCCCATTCCATACCTGGACTCCCCGGACTCTTTTGGAAGAAAATTCACCCCAAGGAGCTTGGTGCCAGACAATGAACTTGTCCTGAGAATGAAGGTCTAGAGACAGTTTCTTCTTCTTCCTCTTCTTCTTCTTCTTCTTCTTCTTCTTCTTCTTCTTCTTCTTCTTCTTCTTCTTCTTCTTCTTCTTCTTCTTCTTCTTCTTCTTCTTCCTCTTCCTCTTCCTCTTCTTCTTCTTCTTCTTCTTCTTCTTTTTCTTCTTCTTCTTCCTCTTCCTCTTCTTCTCCTTCTCCTTCTCCTTCTCCTTCTCCTCCTTCTTTCCTCCTCCTCCTGCTCCTCCCCGCCCCCCTCCTCTTCTTCTCTGGAAAAGTTGTACCTGAGCATATGAAATAGGACAGAGACCAGTTTCTTTCTTTCTTTTTTTTTTTTTATTAGCTGCAGTGAGTAGTAGAATCTTGGTAACCCCTGAATTATCAGGAACCTTTTTTTTTTTTTTTTTTTTTTTGAGACGGAGTCTCTCTCTGCCGCCCAGGCTGGAGTGCAGTGGCGCGATCTCGGCTCACTGCAAGCTCTGCGTCCCGGGTTCACGCCATTCTTCTGCTTCAGCCTCCCGAGTAGCTGAGACTACAGATGCCCGCCACCACGCCCGGCTAATTTTTTTGTAGAGACGGGTTTCACCGTGTTAGCCAGGATGGTCTCGATCTCCTGACCTCGTGATCCTCCCGCCTCGGCCTCCCAAAGTGCTGCGATTACAGGCATGAGCCACCGCGCCCGACCAATCAGGAATCTTATGTGTAAAAACTGTTACTTTGGCCCCTTGATATATAAATGTGTCTAAATGCATTACAGTTGTACAACTCTCAGAGCTCCTAAGTTTTGCTTTCCCAGACTATGTATCTGTGACTCTTGTTGTATTCTAAAATTACCTTCATTCCATAGCCCTGAGTTTCTGTGGGAGTCCAGGACATCTCCTGACAATACAAAGTAGCACAACGTGTGATTGTATATTGCAACCAGGAGCCAATACATTCATTCACCTCAAAGTTGCAAGTGTTCAACGCAGTCACAATGCCCCTCACCAGTGCTCATGCACTTCCTGTTTTTAGGAAGTATCCGCATCTAAGTGGTGTGCATGTTTTATTGGAACACTTAGTATTTTTTTAAACCTGAAAAAAAGCAGAAAAAGCAATTAATTTTTAGGCAGTCCCACATAAGGTGTTAAAGGCCAAATGCAAGGAACACCCTGCTAGGCTCTGTAGATGGATGTATTAAAAATTTATAAAACAATGTGTTTAAAGCTAAGAATTCTGCTGCTTTCAAATTCTGTCCCTCTGCTCCTTCTCCTCACCTCCTGCTTCTCCAGCCCTTCCCTCCGTCCCTCTCATCCCTCAGGCCCTCCTCTTCCCTTAGTCCCCACCACTCTGTCACTCCTGAATAGTGGCTCTAGCACTGTTCCATTACCTGCCACCTGAGTGTTCTCTCCACAGTGGTCCTGCTACTGTGAGTCAAAGTGTGTCGTTTCTTCACCTAAAACACTCCAGTGGCTCCACTTCGGTCTTGTGAAGCTTCTAGAATGTCAGGCACTTGAGCATATGAGGGCATACCTGGTTCAGCATAGGCACTAAATTAATTTTTGTTGACTAGTTGAATGAAATATGATTGTATAAAAATTTAATCGCATCATGGAATATTATAAAATGAAAAATACTGGAAAAAGGAAATATTTTATTTTACTCATGTAGTGTGCTTATCAATTTATAAATTCATTCCATGTGTCTGTTGAGTCTGTGTATGACTTTTGTATGACTGCATAACAAATTACCACAAACACTGGCTTTAAACAACACCCATTTATTGTATTTATTTATTTATTTTTAGAGACATGGTCTCCCTCTGTTATCCACGGTGAAGTGCAGTTGCATGATCATGGTTCCCTGCAACCTCAAACTCCTGGCCTCTAGAGGTCCCCCTGCCTCAGTGTCTGGAGTACCTGGGACTACAGGCAAGTACCACCGTGCTCAGGTAAATTAAAAAAAAAAAAATTCCTTTTTGTAGAGAGGAAGGTCTCCTCAAATTGCCCAGGCTAGTCTCACTCCTGGCTGCAAGTAATCCTCCTGTGTCATTCCCACAAACCTTAGGATTACAGGCATGAGCTACCACGCTTGACCAAACAACACTTATTTATTTATTTACAGTTCCTTAGTCAGAAATCTGAGCATGATTGGAGGGTTCTCTGTTTAGGGTTTCCCAAAACTGTGTTTTCATTTTGAGGGCCTCCTTCAGGCTTATACAGAGGCGACAGAATTCAGTTTCTGCCAGTTGTAGGACTAAGGTTCCTGTTCCTTGCCTACTGTCAAGGTAGAGAGAGGCTGCTCTCAATTCCTGGTGCCCACCAGCATTCTTTGCCACACAGCCCCTTCATTTTTAGAATCCACATTGGAGGAACCCCCTCACACTGAATCCCTCTCACACTGTGAATCTCTCTGATCAGGAAGAACCCAGTCCTTTCAGGGGCTCGCCAGATGAGGACAGCCCGACCAGGGATAATCCCTGTC